>NC_000004.12:116497138-116648653 GCF_000001405.40 Homo sapiens | reverse complement strand
GCTCAAGTTGGTATATCACATACCTGGTAAATTGAGTTGGGGGACTTAGGCAAAGCTAGATGCAGAGTTTTGAATGATGACATCAGACTTTTGTATACTGCTGTGTTCACTTTTATTTTCTCCCTCTCTCTCTTTTTGTTCCTTCCCTTTATTTGCTTTCTTACCTATACCACATTTTATAAAAGGATATCCTCTCTTTTTGTGGTAGCAAGGTGGCTATGATTCTAGGGCAGTACAGATTATCCCTCTAAAGAGCACTCCCAAAATTTCTAGGGAGGAATTTGACTAGCTGTTTTAATTATATGATAGTTGTAAGATAACCACGTGCCCTGATTTGAGCCACGTGGTCATTTTGTGATGTGCAGTGGGCAGAGGTGATTCTAATTCAAATCAAAAGGGTTGAGAAGAATTAGCATGTCATGAGATAAACATAGTCCTTCAAAGGAAAATATGTCCATCACCACCTTTGAAGCAAGTCTGTTTCTCTTATGTCACATACCTTTCCATCTCATCTTTAGCTGTATATCTATGCAGGGTATAATGTTTAAGGGATCACTTGTTTAAACACATACGCACACACACACACACACACACATACACACACACACTACTTAGGCATTTATTTTCAATTTGTGTTTGCAATAAAAGCAGATCTAAATTAATATGTCTAGTTTTTGGCATCTACTATTAAATTTGGAAAAATAAAAGAAAAGAGAGAGAGAGATGGAGAGAGAGAGAAAGAGGTATACAGAATGAAAGGGAGGAAGAATTGATAGACAGCCACTTAAAATGATATTGAGAGTTTGGTTTAGAAATACTTCACAAGACTGATTTATCGTTGCATTTTTTGGCCAGAGGTATCAATATCTGAGATATCCAATTAAATATTTTTTAGAAAAAGTTTTGACTTAAATTTTTTTATATTAATAAAATTTTGTATGTAATACTTTTAATCAAATTCTACCCAAATTAAAATCTAGAAAACAATGTATACCTCAACACTTATAGTTTTGTTAATGCTAACATAATATGTAATTCTTCTTTCTAAATATTTTAATTACCCATCACTGTTAAATTTTCAGATTTGTGCCACTAAAAAAATATATATATCACGTGCACATTGTCTTAGAAGTACCGCGCGCTAACCAATTGCGCCACTGGAGCCACGCACATTGTCTGTTGATACATCTGCACTTATGTAGTCATAATGCATGTTTACTGGTTCATAACTACATCAGTTTCCCAATGTTCCTCATGTTTCTAATATTTCCTAATGTTCCTGATGGAAAAAATAGCATACCATTAGTGGTTTAAAACAAAATAAAATTGTTATCATACAGTTATCAGAATTAGAAGGCTTAAATGAGTCTTAAAGGACTAAAGTCAAGGTGTCTTCAGAGGTGCATTCATGTTAGAGGCTCTAAAAACCTAATCTGTACTAGAAGTTTCCAGCTTCAAGAGGCTGCCAGCATTTCTTGGCTCACAGTCACATCACTCATTCCTGTGGGTACGTTGTCACACCTCCTTTGTCCCTGGCCTCCTTCAATTTGATTACCTCAGGAACAGTGGAAAAATCCAAGATAAAACTTATCTCAAGATTCAAAATCTTAATCAAACCTGCAAAGTCCCTTTTGACAATTAAGGTAAAATAATTGTCACAGGTTCTGTTATTAGGACTTAAACACTAATAGGGATTGTTATTCTGCTTATTATAATAGCTAGTGCAAATCAAGTACTTTTGGCTACCTTAGAATTGCAAATATAAATTTCATCTGCAGAGTGAAGTACTAGTTTTACACATGTTGACGTTATAAACCTGACACCATAGCCTGCACTACAAATGAATTCCCAAATTGTTTGTTTTGATAAGTATTTATTGACCTCTCACTGTTTGCTATCAATTGTGCTATGTCATTTCAACTTCTCTCTTCTTTATTATTTCTTTCTTTATACTAATTTTGAATTTGGTTTATTCTTGATTTTCTAGGTCTTTGAGGTATATTGTTAGGTTGTTTACTTGAAGTCTTTCTAGGATTTTTAAAAATATAAGTGCTAATAACTATAAACTTCCCTCCTAATACTGTTTTTGCTATATCCCAGAAATTTTGGTATGTTGTGTTTCCGTTTTCATTTGTTTTAATACATTTTCAAAATTTCCTTTTAAATTTCTTTATGTACCTGTTGTTCATTTAGGAGCATGTTGTTTAATTTCTGTGTGTTTGTGTAGTTTCCAAGGTTCCCGTTCTTATTGAGTTCTGTTTATTCCGTTGTGGTTAGGAAATATACTTGATATGATTTTTTCTTCTTTTAATTTTTTTGACTTGTTTTAAGACCTAAGATATAATCTATTTGTGAAAATGTTTTATGTGCTGATAAAAAGAATGAATATTCTTCAGCAATTTGGTAAAATGTTCTGTCAATGTTAGTTAGATTTATATGGTCTAGTGTGTAGTTTAACCTTGATGGTTCTTTGTTGATTTTTCTGTCTGGATGATCTGTCCATTACTGAGAGTAGAGTGTTGATGTCCCCTACTAGTCTTGTATTACAGTCTATTTCTACTAATGTTTGCTTTATATACTCAGGTGCTCCAGTATTGGGTGCATCAATATTCATAATTGTCATACCTTCTTGCTGAATTGACCCCTGTATCATTATATGGTGATCTCTTTTGTCTATTTTTAGTCTTTGACTTTCATCAGTTATAAGTATAGCTACTCCTGTTGTTTTCTCATTTCCACTTGCATGAAATATCTTTTTCCATCCTTTCACTTTTAGTCTATGTACATCTTTGTAGGTGAAGAGGGTTTCTTGTAGGCAGTGTATAGTTGGGTCATGTTTCTTTATTATCAATTTGACCACTTTATATCTTTTAATTGGAAAATTGAGTCCATGTACATTCAGTGTTATTATTGATAAATAGCACTTTATACTGTTATTTTGTTGTTTGCTTTCTGGTTGCTTTGTAATTCCTTTTTTCATTTATGTTTTTCTTTGTAGTTAAGCTATGTTTCTCCAATATCATGTTTAATCATCTCTCTCAATATCAAAGCTCCCCAGATCCCTAGGGTAGAGCCAAAATGCTGTGAATCTCTTTGCATAGCAAGCATAACCTTTAGTGTAGTTCTCAAGATGTTCCTCATCTCCATCTGAGACCACTTCAGCCTGCACTTCATTGTCCATATCACTATCAGCATTTTGGTCAAAACCATTCAACAAGTCTCTAGGAAGTTTCAAACTTTCCAACATCTTCCTGTCTTCTGAGCACTCCAAGTCTCTAGGAGGTTCCAAACTTTCCCACATTTTCCTATCTTCTAACTGTTCCAACCTCTGCCTGTTACCCAGTTGCAAAATAGCTTCCACATTTTCTGGTATCCTTATAACAGTACCCCACTCTCTGCAGTACCAATTCACTGTATTAGTCTGTTCTCACACTGCTCATAAAGACATACCTGAGATTGGGTAATTTATATAGAAAAGAGGTTTAATTGACTCACAGTTCAGTATGGCTTGGGAAGCCTCAAGAAACTTAAAATCCTTGTGGAAAGGGAAGTAAACAGGTCCTTCTTCACAGGGTGGCAGTGAGGAGAAGTGCCAAGCCAAAGGGTAAAAGCCCCTTATAAAACCATTAGATCTCGTAAGAACTCACTCACTATTATGATAACAGCATGTAAGTAACTGGCTCCATGATTCAATTACCTCCCACCAGTCCCTCCCATGACATGTTGGAATTATGGGAACTACAATTCAATATGAGACTTGGGTGGGGACACAGCCAAACCACATCAGAAGGGGTCTTGCTATATTGCCAAGGCTGGTCTCAAACTCCTGGGCTCAAGTTATTCTTCCAACCTTGGCTTCTTGACAGACAGGGATTACAGGTATGATCCACATCTCTTGGAAAATAGAACTAATTTTTAATAAGTTTTCTACAGTGTGCCAGAAGGAATCAGTAACTGGCTGGTATGAAATGATCAATTATAACCATGTTGATCAAAAGTGTTTTTTTTTCAATTTTGTAATTTATCTATTTAAGCCTACTGTGGAATTCAGAAATCTAATAGCCAGTATAACTCTGTGAACATCAAATATCCATAATTTTTTACTCTCAAGGGCACTGAATCCACAGTGGCAAAATATCAAGGGGTAAACCAGAGTAAAAGATAATGGAATTTCCATCACCACTCTCTAATAGCAAAGATATGTAACAACACTAAAATAGGTATAAACATTATGAAGTTTAACCTAAAATATATAGAATATAGCTCACAAGTATGTTATCTACATTTGGACTGTCTGGTGTAGAATGATTAGGTGCAGGACAAATCAGAGAAAGAAGACACCAGTGGGGGGTTTCGTAGAAAGCCAGGGAGAGGTGGGATAGGTAAGGCCATGATTTGGCTGTAAAGAAAATAGAAGAATAAAGGAGAAAGGAAAACATGGGCAGAGAGCATCTCAGGGCAAAGAGAGACAGAATAGTGTCAAAACCAGGCCACTTTGACATACCTGAATCCAAGTAGCTCTATCAAAAAAAGTATAAATCTCTGAGTTTTTACTTTTGTTTTTAAAAAAATATTTTAAAGACTTTATTTTCTTATAGCAGTTTTTGGTTCACAGAAAAATTGAGAGGGTACAGAGATTTCTCAAACAACCCCTGCCTCCACACATGCATAGACTCCTTCATCATCAACATCCCCAACCTCAGTGGTACATTTGTTACAATTGATGAATTTTATTGACACATCATAATCACTCAAAGTCCAAAGTTTACATTAGGGTTTACTCTTGGTGTTGTGTACTCTGTGTGCAATGTATAATGTTATGCATCCAGCATTAGAGTATCTTACAAACTATTTTTACATCTCCCATAATCCTCTGTACTCTGCCTGTTCATTCCTTTCCACTTCCAATCCTTGGCAATCACTGATCCTTTTACTGTCTCCACAGTTTTGCCTTTTCCAGAATTTCATATAGTTGGAATCATATGGTAGGTAGGTAGCCTTTTTAGATAGGCTTATTTTGTTTAGTGATATGTATGTATCTATGTTCATTTGGAATAAAACGAATATTGATTTCTCAAAGTTCATTTGGAATAAAAATAAATAATGAAATAGCTTATTATATTTTAGTGCTAAATAATATTCCATTCTCTGGATGTACCACAGTTTATTTACTCATTTGCCTACTGGAGGACATCTCTTGGTTGCTTTCAAGTTTTGGCAATTACAAATAAAGCTGCTATGAACAGAAATATGCAGGATTTTGTGTTGACGTAAGTTTTCAGCTCCTCTGGGTAGATACCAATTGCTGGATCATATGATAAAAGTGTATTTCATTTTGCAAGTAACTGCCAAATTATCTTGCGAAGTGGCTGCATCATTCTGCGTACCTGTAAGTAATGAATGAGACTTCCTGTTGCCTCACATCTTTATCAGCATTTGCTGTTGTTAGTTTTCTGGATTTTAACCACCCTGGCTAGTTACTACAATTTTGAAAAATATTTAGGCTATATGTAGTAAGGATTTGTCTGCAGGCTTTCACTGCCTGCAAACAGATATTATTATTCGTTTCACTAATAATAACAAATAAATATTATTATCTATTTGTAATTTTATTTGACATACCTTCATAGTTATAGATTGGATCTATTGCTTCATTATAAACTAATACTTTAGAAATTTGAAGAGAATATTTTTATTAACTTATGTATTTTTACTATGAGTGTAATATATGCTTAGTAAGAATTAAACTACATCACAGAATCTCATAAAAATAAAAATTTGACATATTTCTGTTGCTTTTAAATTATTTATATTAAGATTTTAATATATATCTTTCTAAAGTATATGCATATATATTAAATATAGTATATACACACTAGGGTATCAATTTAAAATATTAAAAATGTTCCTTATTTTATATTGATATTGTAAGAAATATTACTTTTCATTATAAAATATGTAAAATTTATTCATAAAATAAATCAACTGTATTTAATGAATCACTTTATGTTAAATATTATTTTGTTTTCAGTTTTTATATTAAAGATTGAACTCTCAAATCTCAAAGTTCAAAATTGGAAAGGATCCAAAATCTGAAACTTTTTAAGCACTGACATGACACTCAAAGGATTGCATTACATTGATGCTCAAAGGATTGTATTTATGTATTGATAACACCTAGGCTCTGTATGTTTTATGTATTAATAATACTTTAATATCTGGTAGTCAACCTTATTTTTCTGTTTCAGAAATTTTGAGGATAATCTCTCATGTCAACTCTGTCTCATCACTTTGAGATGGTGCACTTGTTTTTAAGTGGAAATGAAAGTTTCAGAGACAATGTCAGTTTAATTACACACACTCTCCACTTACATTAATAAATATTCAGTTATCATTGTGATATTTCTAATATTCTGGAATAAAATATAAAATTTTACAGAAAAATAAAGTGGATATTTGGCAAACTTTATTTTCTTTTATATATGCTAGATACACAAAGTGTGGATTTACGCATGGGTTTTTATACCTTGAAAGTCTAGGTTTCCTAACAATGTTATGCATCTATATTTTCATTTTTCTTAGCTATTTTCTTTCTTTCCTTTATTTAACATATCTACAAAATGAATAATGCATGTTATGTAATCCTTATACAAATAAAAATGGTTTTACTTGCCATAAAATAATTATATTTTAATTAAATTATTACTTTAAAATACATTTAAAATGTAATGAAAGCTTAGCTAAAAACAAATTGAATATATCCATAATAAGCACTGAAACCTATAAATCAAAATATTTTATATAGGTAAAATAAATTGAGTAATAATTATGTTTTGAAGTGAAACATCTTTAATACCAGAGGTAAGTTTCAGAAAGCAATTCTATAAAGATAGATTTTTTTAAATTATTGAATTCAAGTTTGGTCACTTAGCTGTTTCTATTTGTAATATATTGTGTGTGTTTGGTTTTTTTTAAAAAGATTTCTTCTTCTGAGGTAAAAATATCATTGGCACATTTTACCACAGATTAAGTGGGAAAGTGAATATTTCCCAGACACATTGAAAGAAATTTTTAAATGCAATTTATTTGATTCAAATAATCACACATTCAAATTATGTTTATGTAGTATATCTTGGTTATTCATATTCCCTATGAGCTTTGTATTCACTGTGGTCAAGCTCCACATTGGCCAACTCCTTCTGTATAGCTTACTCTTTTCTTCTCATTGTAGCCCAGGAGCTAACAAATAGGTTATCACACATTAAAAAGTTAACTTTACATATTAAAATAAAATTAATGTTGTAGTGATTGGCTCCTCCTAGGATAAAAAAAATCACTTATGAAGTACATGCATTGTAGCAATATTATGAATATGTATTTTTATTTGTTCTCATATTTTACATTCTGTTCTCTGAGCAGGAAGGACACAGGCTGCTATTTTTATTTCAGATGGTGCTGGTGGGTGACCTACAGTATGCTCAGAATCCAAATAAAGGGAAACATCAAAAAGGATTTTTTTATGAACCAATGGATCTACTTTTATTTTCTTCTGTCAAAACATCTTTTATCAGGGGTCCTTTCCACTGATAACTTTGAGATGCCAGTCTCTAGAGTTCTAATCATTTCAACAAGCATTTCAGAGTGAGGCAGAAGACTCCGCACACTACCAAGCTTGGTGAAGAATCCAAATTATAAATAAATTTCTGAATAGTGTTTAATGACATGTCTAACTATATCTCCAAGGAAGAATAAAATATCCTTTTATGTTTGCTGTAAAAACAAAGTCAAAATGCTTTTAAAGGCATTTTCAATTATGCTATTCCATGGTCTGTAATAAAATATTTTTAAGTAAAATAGTAAGAAAATCCTTGCTTCTCACAGGGAAACGTTATTCTTCTCAAATTCACAAGGTCTTTGTGATTGATCTTGTTTCTCCCACCTTTTCTTGTCTTAATTACTAGAACAATAAGAGACAAATTTAAAATCAAACAAAGTAAATATTTTGACCCCTATAATTGTATTTTCATCTTGAGCACTGTTTTTATCTCTAATAAGCTTTATAATCTAATTGTGGTTTTCATTTGTTTTAACCTATTTTAAAATTTTTTTGAAAAGAGATAACATGTGAGTAAACAAATGAACAAAAAACAATGCCATGTTTAAACCTTAGATTTTTATATCTTAATGCATTTTGGGTAAGACCCTTTATTATTATTATAATCAAGATGGATGACTATAGAGACACAATAAAATTGGGAAAATATTTTAAAAATACTGCTTAATTAAGCAGTTTTATTTTCTATCTCTAAAAATATTATTTTAAAAATATTACTATTATATATACAATAGGTTATACAATTTTTTAAAAAATTACATATATATAAAATTACAAATTTACAATAGTTATCAAAGTTTTTCCAACATTTCCAAGAAAATAGGGGAGAACTCTAGTGGTTGTGTTGCCATATACCACAAACTGTGTTAGGCATTTATTTTCTTGGTGCCTGTAGAAATGCAAATGAATAATTTGAGGACTTTCAAAGTGAAGAAATTTAGTGTACTATAAAATAAAATTACATGTCATTTTCATAGAGGTGAGACATCATAGATACCTGTTACTGCAACATCAATATGAATATGGCATAGTCAATTGGCCTTGAATTTTGACGACATAAATTTGTGAAAAATGTGGCCTTTTTTGGTCCTCAAACTTCTACAGAGAGATTTTATAAAAATATCTGAAAATATGTGTGTATAGCTGAAAGGAAAAAGAGAATGGTATTCATTAACTTAGACTAATGTTAGCAGGAAAAGTGTGATAAGCAATGCCATATTATCATGAGACTGAGTTTCTAAGGTTACTGCGAGACTAGAATCAAGATTATAACAAGTAAACATTAGGCAATAATTATTCCATAGAGAACGATGCATATTTCCAAAATAAAGGATTGCTGCAAGCTTAACAGATATGTACTAGCTGTAAAGCCAAAATAATTTGTTGAACCATGAAAATAGTAAAGATGATTATCATTATTGCAGTAGTTGAATTTCTTAACATATACTCATTTTATAAGATGCATATGCACCCATCATAAATTATGATTCTGAAAATGAAACCAAGTTCATTAAAGTGCTCATTTTGTAGTTACAGGAACATAGATAAGGGTAGATGACCCTTCTCTGTTTCTATGTTTTTTTTTTCTGATATAATTTGTGGACCGCTATTAATAATAGCTGCCCTCTGATTTCACTCTAAGAAATTAAGGCACACCAGATGCTGACAGAGAAAATGGTGTCAAAAACAATATTTTGCTCTCAACATAAATGATCCAGACGCTGCTTCAAGTGAAAACGAAAATGATTTTTGGCTGCTGATAGACATTTTCTGTGTTTCTTCTATCAGACAGTTCTACTAAGGGTGGACCAGACAATGGATGTGTGTGCCCCTTAGATCTAATAATCATCCTCCCCTGGGAGGAAAGGATGCTGGGACAATAGGATAATGATTATGGTAACTTTTTGCATTCTTGAATCCTAAAAGTATTTTTAAATTATTTTCAGCCAAAAATTTTCTAGTTTCTTTTCAAATTTGTATAATTCCTTATCATAACACTCTAATCAAATTTATGAAGCTTGTTGTTTTAAAACTTGGTAACATTTTTACTAAAATTTCCTTTAGATAGAATCTTAACAAGGACATTAACATTTTAAATATAGTTAGCATTAAGAAGGGTTATTGCAAATAAGTGATTGGAAATATTTGTGACATCAAAGCTTTAAATCTTCAAGTCTCATATGTCTGGGGACAGACAGCCTCATCTAATCAGTTTGACTGTGCCTCCCAGGAAAACATAACCCCTGCAGAGCCCTAGGCTGTGTAGACAAGGACCTAACAGCTCCTCTGCAGAGCTGGTCTTAACAAGTATGGAGGAAGATGGGATGTGCAGATATTTAACACAGGACTTTTGGAGAAATAAATTCAGTGATAAAGCAGGTGATTTTATTGGAAAATGATAGATTTATTATATAATTGATACAGAGACAAGTATAATAACTTACAGTTCATATTACACAATAATATTTCTCTATAAAAATTAAAAGATGGCCACTGTGCTTTTTTTAAAAATTAACCACAGGGGTTGCTTTTGAGAATATTTAATAATTAATAGCTTTTACACCAATCTTTAGAACTTGCTTCCTGAAGAAAAGGACCTGCTAAATTTACCACAAAAATATATGGTGAAGACATGAAATTCCTTTAATAAATAGATTTGGATTAATATGCATGAGTGTTTTTTATTTTTCTTTAAACTCCCTGACATTTTACAGAATTGTGCTTGAAATCTGAACAACCTGAAATCTGTCTCCATGGAAATGAGGATTCAAAGTATTAAAAGTATTTCAAACTTAAAAAGTAGTGACCATGGAGTCTGTGATCCCTATATATTTGGCATGTTAGTTGTGTTGAGAAGACTGCACCATTCTGCTAAGTTTCCTTATGTTCATATATTCACTAACTAAATTCTACTTGTTTTCTTATGCAAACTGCAATCTCTTTGAGGGCTTGTCTTTCCATTGTTCTCCTCCTGTACAATTAGGGTGTGGCTTTCTACCTTGCAAATGCACAAAGATTATATGCTTGATGAATTAACTAAATCCAGAAATTTTAAAACTCCAAATGGAGATGATATGGGTGCAACAATATTAATAAATTATTGAAATTACTTGACTAACAGACAGAGATAACAAATTTCATCTCTGCCCCACACTCATCTACAAATGGGAGATACATGGGATTCATTTTTCAACCACATTGAGACCAGTCACTAATTAAGTGTAATTCATTCTCTGCATCTTCTTTTCTATGTCATAATTGTCATAATCTTTTAAATACTACTTTCAAGTATTACTGCTTTAAGTAATACTTCTTTCAAGTAATACTACTATAGAGAAAAATTTCAACTAAAGGTTAAATCTTTTCATCAGATTTTGACTTTGGTCAAGAGAAATGAATTGTCTTAATAATTATAAACTCTAAGTAATGTGTATTACACATTAGCTATACATGAAAAGAATGAAAGTTAAAGACTACAGAATTTTATTCAAGACAATATCTTTGAAGGAGAACCTTAAACACTTTTTGAAACAAAGAAATAAGACAATAGAGAATAACTGTGTAACATGTTTTTTTTTTCTTCTGAAGCTAATAATGGGAAAAATAAGAAGGAATATTTTGGGTAAATGTCATTAAACACATGCAATACAGTCTTTTGCTAAAGGCATGACATTTGGAGTCAGATGGCCTTTTTGTCATTTTCTGGCTCTGTCACTCATCAGCTATATGACCTTGGGCAAATTATTAAATTACTTATACCTTAGGTTTTCCATACTAATAATGAGGATGATGAAAATAATATTTTCTACATCATAGCATTTTTTTCTGACGATTCACTGAGTTAATTTATAAAACACAGTCCAGAGTTGCAGCCCAGCAGATAGCAAACACTTGGTGAATGAGAGCTATTATTCTCTCTCTGTTTCACTCTCACTTCCCCTTTCTCTGCCTTGAATGCCTATTATATATTGGCTTTACTTGGATTTCCTCTTTAAATTGAAGGTGAATATAATGTCTTTACTTTTTGGGTTATTGGCTCTGTAGATGTTCCTCTTCAGTTGCAAGGGACAGAAACCAATCTATTTTTCCTGACAACCTCTGAAATAAAAGTATGGAAAAGTTAAATGGCTTTAATATAAGTTCTTCAGGAACTTGATTGGAGGCCATTTCTATATTGTACCTTATTTATGTGCACCTGCTCCCAAACTGGCAGCTTGAAATGACACATCTGACAAAAGTTTAGATTCTCATCTGATGTTGCCTTTATCCTGACAGATAATGCTAGCCTGTCTGAGCTTTCTATTCTTATCTTAAACACATCTTTAACTATAATCATAAATAAGCATCACAATTATTTTTCCATCAAGAGTATTTTTCTATTATACATATGTAGAGAAACTGCGGTATTTAAAATTCTTGTTAGAGGGCTTAGGGTTTCTAAAAAACATTTTCAGTAGCTTTAATGTATTGCACTTAGGGTATCTTCGTCCACTAAAATGGCTTTCTATTGTTCTTATAGCTAATTCAATGCCCATTGACTACTAGTAATATAACAGAATGCTGACAGAAGATTTTATCATAGACAATATAAAATCAAGTTATTCAACATGAAATTTTAACGGTTAAAACAAATCTTGGGAGTGAGAGGGGCAGGGGCAATAGGGACCAGGGCAGATTTTTCTGAGGGCTTGAAAATTGTGAGATCATACCTGTATGACATCAGAGCATTAAGAAGTCACACTCCATTTATAATGTAATGAGGTCACAGTACAATTCTATAACTGGATTTAAACTTCAGCTTCTTGTTTTGTTTATTGTAGAGCCAGCAATGAATGGGTAACAAAGATTCTCTACCGCTTTAAAATTATTATTTGTAATCCTGCCCTTTTAAGGAGCTTCTTATCATACTTTATAATATGAAATAAATAACTAGGTCTCTTTAGTCACACTTGAAAATTTTCCGTGATCCTGCTTGTGTACATGCCATTGGCATTTCCCTGTACTGAATGAAAATTGCAATCTGTGAATATGGCTTACTTGACTAATATTTGTGTTTATTTGCTTATTGGTACTTGATCTGGATTCTTGGTTTTAATTACCTTCATTTAAAAGTTTATTGTTTTGTTGTGTATTTAAATGTTTTTACATTTTCTTTGATATAGTTTAGAAATTGGCTTGGATTGGGGTTGAGAGTGTTATTATTGAGTAAAGAGGGAATAAATTTGTTATTACAGAATAGATCTCATTTTACATTCCAATTTCCTCATAGTGATTATATATAAATTCAAGTTAATTGCAATTTCTTACTATGGACTTTCATTCTAGACAACAAGGAACGTTAATTTTATTTAATAAAACATATAAATTCAGACACACAATAGAAAAATTCTGCAATTTGCAAGAAAACAAGACTGACAAGAATATCTTCTTAACTACTCAAATTACTTTATCATCAACAAATTAATTTAAACACAGATTTTAAGATGTATGTAATTTTTAAAGGAGATACACTTCAATATATTTTTGTACTTTATAAATACAAGGGAATTCTTTGTTTAAACTTTTCTTTCTCTGTAAATTAATCATTTATTAAATATATATTTTATGTTTAAATATAAAGTAAGGAGTTGAGTAATTCATATCATTTTGATGACACAAATTAAAAAACATTATAAAATTGCTTATAGCACACATTATTGAGAATTGATGACCAACTTACATGCTTTCTTATATGACAAAAGAAAAAATATTAGCTTGAAATAAACCTTTCAATATCTCTGAGAACAATATTTCCTGAGTCTATTGACAGAGTTCTCAAAAAATGTAATAGAGTAAAAAGTACATTTTAGCATTCAAAGTAAATATGACTTTGTTAATTAAGCTAAGCATACAAGCAAAATAACTTATTTTTCTATATTAAAAAATGTTGAGGCAAAAATTCCTTTGAGTTCTTGAAATTAAAAAGAAATAAAAGCAGTTAAAATTTTTCCGTCTTTCAGTTCCTTACTCTGCTATGCATCTTAAGCTTTTGTGACAAGTGAAAGTCTAGGTGCTTGCAAAAATGAAAACCTGGGTTACTTAGATGAAAGATAACCCTAGATATGTCATCAGTTATAATTTCATTGAAGGAATATAACATTTCATATATAAATTTAAGTTTACCATATATTTGGTGCAATTGCATTTTAGGAATGTAACATGAGGTAGAATCTTGAAGTAAAAATATAATTGAAATGTCAATATGTTTATAAAGATATTTAAAAAACAATTTTTGGGTTATTCAAATATATACTTTAAATCCTTCCTGCCAGTTATACATTAGGTCATCATGAAGTGAGGGTTATTTGATAAGTTTTAAATCAGGAGCCTTCTTTATTTTGCAAAGACTATGTAATTCTTGACATTGTAGGTGGTGACTTGGAAGTTACTCTAGAGAGTTGTTCTTGTCCAGCAATTATAAAGTGGGTCTGGTTGTTCAGGTCTCTAATTAAAAATTCCGGGGAGGGGAACAATTCAATGAAAATCCAAATGACTTTATAAGAAAATTATACAGATTTTTAAAATATAATTAATTTAGCAACAAGTATAACAAACTATAGTTTGTACTGCACAAACATATTTCTTTATAAAATTCAATATTTACTCACTATGCTTTTGTGATATCTTGACATAAGAAGCAAACCTTGTTACTGGTCAGCAGTGCCTTTACTTGTGTTGTCTTATTTTTGGTTTACATGCTCATCTTTGTAAAGTTTTTGTGTTGTTTTGTGCAGCAAATCTATGGCCTTGTGAAATTTGCAAAATGCAAGGCCTTCTGGCTTTACTTTTCTAAGACTCAATTTTCTTGTCATTAAAACAGGGGTAAAAATAGTAAATGATACCATTTAAATAAGGCATTTCTTTAGCCTTAGATTTTAAAATGTTAGTGATTCTTCTAATGTCGATGATTCTAGCCTTTTTTGACACTTTAAATGATTACTGATCATCATCTCAGGTGTAGTGCATTAAAATACTAAATGGTCTGGTCAGGAAACTTATGTTGCTGTCCTTTAATAATGATATATTCTGTTTAGACTATTACTTGTGCCACTAATTACTGACATGCCATTTTGTGATTTTCGTATTATATTGCTTTTCATATATTCTTTACAAAGTTGAGTTTTTCCAACTTATCTAACTCAAAAATAAGTCTTAGATTTCCTGCTCTAGCAAGGACCTCTCTCCCTATACAATCTCAATTCACATGATTTTCTTGGATATTTTGTTAGCCACAATTTCTACATTAAGCAACTCTACCTCTGCTCTTTCTCTGGGTCTTTGTGATTCTCCTAATTTCTTCAGACTCTGCTCTACAGTGATTGTCTGGTCTCTTTTCTCTGCACAGTGGAAAATCATAGTCATCTTGTCTGTATAAAGGAAGTAATATCTGAGCATTTGTCTCTAGGAAGAGTGTTCTTGGAGCCTTATATTTCTTTATTTCTAACCATTTCTCCTGTGGAGTGAGTCACAGTCCTGCTCCACTACCAAAATAGAAACTAGTCTATCATATTAATTATTTTCTTTTAACACTTAAGACAGCAGCCAAACTATGGAGCTTGTATATGAAATATTGAATCCCTGCTTTTTTGAGTATTTTACAATTATAAAAGTTTTTATCTCTAGATATGAATTATAAATGATGTAAAACTTTCTGAGAAACGAAGGCATTTAAGGTTTAGTTTAAGTTCTCAGTATGTTTGACCCTAGCACACCCAGCATGCCCCACATCTCCTCCTTTTCCTCAATATAACAATGATATCCTTTCAAATGTTCTTTTTCACCTATTTCTATGCTTTATGTCTGGATATTCTTACAAAGAAATGGCGCAAAAATGTGTTGTCAGTTTCATTACATTTCAGTAAATAGCTTCCCATATGTATATAGTGGATAAAGTAGCACATGAACTCCTTAATTCAATGGCTTCCAAATCCAGAAATGAGCATAATTATGAGTTAAAAAAATAATAACATTAACACTAAGTTATGAAGGTGTGCCTCAGAATTAGTATTTTTAAACAACTCCCCTTTAGTATTTCTGGTTACAAACTAAGTTTAGCAAATGCTAATCTCAGAATCTTTCCACTTTGGCCTCTTTTATTTCTGCCCACATTCCCTAATTTTTGCTCATTTTGGCAGCTATTCCCACGATCTTCTGTCCAAAGCTTGCTCACATGATGCTTTCAGTCTCCCAAGTTAATTCGTCCCCTCCTCTCAAACCCCGTACTTCTCAATCTTTACTTTAAACCTATGATCAGCTGTTGCTTATTTGCTCAGAGCCACACTCCTTGTGCTTTTCAGAGCACCAATTATTAATCTAATAAATGAATATTTTGGCCCACTAATGGATAAAGAATAGAGGGGACTCATATTTTCATTATACACCTGGCAAGAGTGGAGTGTCCTTATTATGAAATGCCCAGTCACAGTTTACTTTGAAGCTTTTACTTTAATGAGCCTTCTGGGAAGATGATTTATTACTGGAGGAAGGCTTTCTTGTTACAGAAAAAATATCAAAATCTGATTTTCTAAAAAAATGCAGCTTGAATTCAGTCCAACTAAAACAGATTATGCACATTCTGCTCTCTAGGATAGTAACTAAACAGGATGATGATTTTATTATGCTGGCAAGTGATTAAATTTAGACCAAGAGTTTATGTAACTATTTTGGACTAGTTATGAACATCTATTTCTCCCCACTAGAGAATAAACTATCAATTGCTTTTATAGGTGGACAACCTTACTGTTATACAGATTTCAAAAATAATTCATGAAAAATATGCTACTATGAACATTTGATACCAGCACAGTGGCCATATATATGAGTTTACTTGTTTCATGCTCACATATTTCTAGGTAAAGGAGTTCACAATAAGTCCTGTTAAAGTCTCTGAAACCTGTTTTTGGTAGAACATTGCCAGGATTAATAACGTATAGCTGAAAGGGTATTTTATCATATGACAGATGCATAGAGTGAGTTTAGCATCTTTCTACTACAGTTCAGACCTCATAAAGCAATAAATGCTGATTCTCAGCACACTGTGCTTCCTTCGGGCTCTATATCTGTCCTTGGGCTTTATGATCATTTTACATCCAGAACCAGTATTAAATCAGAGTCACAAAATTCCATACTTTTTCTATGTTACTAGAGGATTGAAGCAGAATATCAGGTAGTACAGATACCTCTGCTAAAATTATTCTTTTTAGTTTGTTTTGACTGAGGATGTTTAATCTTTGGAATATTACAACTGGGACTATAGGTGCCAAAAGCAAAGTTAGCAAGAATATTTGCATTAACACCTTTACAATATTGTTGAATAGTTCTGCCACACAAATCAAAGAAAGTGATTGTTTTTTATTATGTGTCCTTAGGCTTACTACATACCTTCAGTTAAAAACCCTTCAATTTTTTATTTGAATTACAAAGTTAATGCTTTACACTGAAAACTTATTCTCAGACAAAAAGAGCAAAACAAATTCTGCTTCACACATTCATTTAATCTTCATCTTTTTATATTGTCAATGAATTACTAGGAATCTTGATGAAAAAACTTGTAAACAGAAAACCTTGATTTTGTAAAAATAAAATTCAAACTCAATTTTGCATTTAGATTTATCATATCAATCTATCATAAATTAAAAAATAAAAATTACACAAATGATTCAAAGCTCTTACTATAGGACTAGGGTTGTCACCCTACATTGTTTTTTTGGATTTTTTTTTCTGGAAGAAAGTGTTTGTATAAATATAAAAGTGCATGTTCCATGGATATGGCAAGTAAGGGAGTGATATTTAGAAAATAAGAAAAAACTAACTTGGGAAAGTCCATACATGTAAATTGTTTTTATGTTAATCAATGATGAAACTCTTTACGCAAGTCAAGGTCATTTTCATTATGGCACTTGATAGTATTTTGAAGCGCTAAATAATACTAAACACATATATCTTAAGGCTTATTTATTTAAAAACATGAATAGTCCTACCTGTCTTGTTCCTTTGGAGACCTAGGGAAATGTCTTTTTCTATGGAAGGAATCCATAGGACTACTGGCTAAGTGAAGGTTGAAATCAGTGGAAATACAGTGGAACACAAGACTTGAATAGAAAGTGGTAGTTGTAACATTTCAGTAATTGGTAGTGGTTTTGATAGTGAAATATGGAAGGGTTTAGATGAAATCTAAATTCCAAAAGCTGGGTCAAAGCAGGAAAAAACATCCAACATAATAGCAAAAATCAAAGCAGATTGCAAAGAAAAGAGGAGGAAGTTTTTAGGAAAATTGCAAACACCAAGGATGTTTCAAGTTCATGTTTGACAGCCAAATAGAGTCCTGTAGTCACAGCGTCTAGGTTTAAATTTTGACTCTAGTATTTGCCAGCTCTGTGGTATCAGGCAGGATAACCCTTACATAACATTTCTTTTCTTTCTTTTTTTTTTTTTTTTTGAGATGTAGTCTTGCTCTGTCGCCCAGGCTGGAGTGCAGTGGAGCGATCTAGGCTCACTGCAACCTCTACCTCCCAGGTTCAAGTGATTCTCCTGCCTCAGTCTCCTGAGTAGCTGGGACTACAGGTGTATGCCACTACGCCTGGCTAATTTTCTGTATTTTTAGTAGAGACTGAGTTTCACCATGTTAGCCAGGTTGGTCTGGATCTCCTGGCCTCGTGATCCGCCTACCCTGGCCTCCCAAAGTGCTGGGATTACAGGCATGAGACACCGTGCCCGGCCAGTACTTATTTTCTAAAAGTAAAATGGGAGTAAAAGTCTTATCAGCTTTATAAACTGCTGTGAGGATTAGAAAAGGTATTAAATATAATATCTTAGAAAAAGATTTTAGAATAATGCATGGCACATTCCCAAGGTTTCAATACATTTTAACAAGGTATGGCATATTAAGAAGTTCTAAAAGTGTTTTAGTTTTTATAATAACTATTTTGCTTATTAGGTAAATAAAATAAAATATTAACATATATAAAATAAAATATTAACTTATGTTTTATGCCTTAAGCTAGCTTTACTCTTTGTAATAACCTAAAATATATAATCCTTCTGTATAGAGCCAAAGTTATCAATTTCTCAAGTGATAAATGCCTTCTCCAAGGTCACATACTGAAAAATAGAAGAATGGGATTGAAAATGACTTCCCTTTGACTTTCAATATGCTAGTGATCTTTCTGGTACACCTCACAGCTTCTGTGACACATTCCAGTTGGATTTTACATGGAGAAATTAATTGTCTCTGAAAAGGAGAGAAGGTGTGAGCAAAATCAGTATGGAAAAATAAACTCAGAAAAAATGGTGAATTTTTTATTGGTTCTTGGATAAAAATGAATAAAAATTCACAAGCCAAGAATAGTAAAAGTAAAAAGATGCAAAGCAGACAGACTGTGTGCACAGGTGTGGAGGATGGTAGTGATCAGTATTTAAAGGTATGCAGGAGGAGGAAGAGGTGGATGGAGATAGAAGATGATATGTTTCCTTAATCTCCATTCATTTCTGCCTTTGTCTAATTCTGCCTCTTGTATGTTTTTTTTAATATATGAATAAATTTAAGTGTGAGCCTTGCCATTTTCACTTATTTCTTTGTACCCTTTCTCCTTCAGGATTATGGCTTCTGAAGTCCTGGTTGCTTCATCACTTCTTAAATATCTTCCAATCTATCTCTATATCTACACAAATACACAAATATACATGTACATATATATGTGTTTGTCTATATACCTATGTATGTGCACCTATATAGAGATATAGATACAGACGAATGCTTTTCTAGTTATTTTAATGGGAACTATTTTTTCTGTTCAAAGCTCTTTGATCCTACTGGAATATAGAAGTCTCAAGAGACAGTATGTTTTCCTATAAATTATTAGGAGAGTTTTTCATAAGGAAAATGTAGCTGTGTTTGGCTTAATCTAACCTGAATTTATTTCAGTCAAAACACTGAAAGTATAAAAAGTAAATGATTACGATCTAGATAAGTAAACTTCCTTAGTCAGAAGTCAATTTTAGTTTGTGTATCTTTTTCTAATCATTTCTAATGTACTTTACCCAACATACTTGAAAATATTGCCTGAATGACTTTTCTTTCCTGCTCTCTCTCCTTTTCTGTCTAGGAACTAACCATCTCATTTCATCCATGAGTGTTGGCACATGTCTGTCATTTCTCTACACAAGTAGCTTTATAGACCTGCCCTATATTAGGTTTTCACTCCCAACATGTCAAAGCAGACTGTGAGTCGATGACACTTCCATAAAATCTTATCACTCCTTGTCAAAATCCCCAAACCATCTTGTCATATTTAATTTATCACAAAATTATTTTCCACTTTTGCACTTACCAATAATGTGAAGTTACCGAACACTTTTCATAAATCTACTCTGAGTAATTATATTGAGATTGTTTTAATACCTTAGAATAGAAAAAGGTAGATGTATTAAGATAAAAGTTGAAGCATCATATCTCTTTTATCAATGAAGACAGGCATTTCAAGTGGAGTTCTTAACAGCTATTTGCAACTGAAAAGATTGTGTCATTGTTGACAGCTTTCTCATTAGCCTAAAGTTTGTTTACTTAATTGATGACAGATCTTAACCAGGTATTTTAACACATATTTAGAATACATAACAGAATTGCAAGATTTAAGCTTTAATATCTATGTCCAGTTGGAGGATACAGAAAGCACATATTCCCTTTCTTCTCTATTCAAGAATTCCTTTTATTCTTTCTGCAGGAGAGAAGGTATTATTTAAGAGATTTTGTTTTTACTTAATTTTGCACAAAGTATGTTACTGTTTGTTTGCAATAACTGTTCCTCTCAGGATTATATTAACTTGGATTAAATAAATTGTAAATATACTCCATTATGTTTGATAATATAATTGGCAGTCATATCACAAGTGCAACCTTTGAATTTCTCAAAAATTTGAAAATAATCTTAATTTTTTATTTCTTGATAATAATGCACTCATGTAAATGCACTACATAATACAATAACAATAATTCACATATACAAAAATATACACAGCACATCATTTATCTTACAAATAAAAGCTAAGATTAAAAATTACTAACAAATCAACAAGGAAAACAAACAACTCCATGAAAAAATGGGCAAAGGTTATAAACAGCTACTCCTCAAAAGAAGATACAAAAGAGGACAGCAAGTATGAAAAAATGCTCAGCATCACTAATCATCAGAGAAATGCAAATCAAAACCACAATGAGATATCATCTCACCATCTCACCAGTCAGAATGGTTGTTACTAAACAGTCAAAAAATAACAGATGTTAGCGAGGCTGCAGGGAAAAGGGAATGCTTGCACACTGTTGGTGGGAATGTAAATTAGTTCAGCCACTGTGAAAAACAGTTTGAAGATTTCTCAAATAACTTAAAACAGAACTACTGTTAATCTCAGCAATCCCAATACTGAGTATATACCCAAAGGAAAATAAATCCTTCTACCAAAAGGACATGTGTACCCATATGTTCATCATGGCACTGTTCACAATAGCAAAGATATGGAACCAACTCAGGTGCCTATCAACAGTGGATTAGATTTAAAAAATGTGGTATGTATACAACACAGAATACTACCCAGCCATAAGAAAAAGTGAAATCATGTGCTTTGCAGCAACATGGATGCAGCTGGAGGCCAACATCCTAAATGACTTAACACACAAACAGAAAACCAAATACTGCATGATCTTGCTTATAACTGGGGGTCAAACTTTGGTTACACATGGACATAAAGATGGGAACAATAGGTGCTGGGGAATACAAGATGGGTAAGTGGAAAAGGAGGCAAGAGTTGCATAACTACCTATTGAGTACTATGCTCACTAACTGTGCCAGGAGTTCAATCATACCGCAAACCTCAGCATCACACAATATATCCTTGTAACAAACCTGCACAGGTACCTCCTGAAGCTAGAATGAAAGTGGAATTTAAAAAAAAATCTGTATAAACAGCTAGTGCTACTATTTTTATATGGAACTAACTAGTTGGTTGTGAACTGACAGGTCCTAGTTAACCAAAGTGTATACAGATTTTGAACTGAAATATATCACTTATCTGAAATATAACAATTATCCTTTTGGGAAAAAAACTCTGAACTCCTGAATTTTATATAATCATTTTATGAATCTGATATTTTGATCGTTGAAAAACTGCATGCACAATCAAAATACACATCAATAAATAGCTATATAGTTCTTTTCTTTTTTTTACTTTTTTCTTGGAGCGTGAGGGATGATATGTATCCTAATAGAAAGATATCTTTTGATTAGTAATATGATATGGCTTTTGTCATCAAACACTCTCCTAATAACAAAAGCAGTTTCTGTGAAGGGCGGTACAATATAGTGATTACAAGCAACACGTTTGTAACTGCAGCCCTAGTGTTTGTATTTTGGCTCCATCATTTATTGGCATTATGACCCTGAGCAAGTTATCTATCATCTCACAATAGCTAAATATATTAAAATACACTGAACCTTGGAAGGGACGCCTGGAACATAGTACTGCATGCACATTAACTGTTGATATAAAAGCTATCCCTGAGGGAAATTCTGACTATGGAGTCATGAAAATAAAAGTAAGAAGGGGTTCTATCTAATTAATTTGTTAATTAAATACATGTCCATGTCACAGTAGATGAATACATATTATTTGGAGACAGAGAAAGTGAATGAAAATGAAGACAAATTAAAAACTAAATTAGGGCATGGTGGCTCACACCTGTAATGCCATGCCTTTGGGATGCTGAAGCAAGAGGATCACTTGAGTCCAGGAGTTCGAGACCAGCCTGGGCAACATAGTGAGACCTTATCTCTACAAAAAATAATAATTATAAAATCCGGGCATGGTGATGTAAGCCTGTGGTCTCACCTACTTGGAAGGCTGTGATGGGAGGATTGCTTGTACCTGGGAGATCAAGGCTACAGTGAGACATGATCACACGACTGCACTCCAGCCTGGGAGACAATGTAAGACCCAGTCTCAAAACAAAAGAAAACTAAACTAATAATTAGTAGCCCTTAGATAAAGTTAAGGAGATAATATGTGTATACATGTATCTCAAATTACTATAAATAATAATCTTAGAAAAAATAAATATACTTGGAAATTTTTAAAAAGTATATTTGTTAAAATAAAGAATTTAAAGTGCTAAATATTAGAAAAAAGGAAGCTAAAGGCTCAATTATTGATGAGCACCCAATCTGTAATCCAAAAAATAAAACTACAAAAAAAATCTAAAAATGTAGTGAAAAAAGTAAAACTACAATTATTTAAAAAAATGTAAAGGTCCACAGTTGAGCTAGATAAGTAATAATATTTGTGTATAAATGTTGTTTCAGATAAGAGTGTTTGTAAAGGGGAAAATACATAGTCTACTTGGAACAAAAGGAATTAAAGGGAGAAATACATGATATTGAAAATAAACAGTTGAATAATACAGGAGAATGACAAAACATACACACATTCTTAAGTGTACATACACTCAAATGATGTCACAACTAAGATTCAAATGTCCAATTCTATTGGTTTTTTACAGCAATTTGTTAAATTAGTTCACAAGTAAATTCAGGACTGCATGAGTGGAAAATTAATATTATTATTCAAATAACAATACTAGGAAATTAGGCATTCTTAATCATGGGAAGAAGATAAAAGAAGTAACAAAGGGGAGGCATTAGAAATACTAGGAAAAATGAAAGCTATTAAAAAAGACCTCTTTCGTATTTTAAACTGCCAAATCTATGCCTAACTTTTGCAAAAATAAGCACTTTTTGGAAATACTACTAATGATGTAGTTTAGAGAGTGAAACAACTTATTTCTCTAAATGTATTTAAAATCTCTTGGGATATCTAGTTGATAGTAATTATAATCATTTTCTTATGATTATCTGTTTTATCCTGAAATTGAGAAATCAATGTTTCCTTTTGTAGAAGTAGAGAATTATAAACCCAATTACTGTGACTCTCATTGTTTAAATCTGTGCTAAAATTTTAGGTTCCAAATCTCACTCAATAACACGTGGGAGCCCATGTTCACAGATCAAAAAGAGTCCAGTAAAGTGGCTCTTAATTTCACTGAAGTAACAGGGCTAGCTTGAAAGTGACCAGTGTTAAATGAGAACTCTTATGTGATAATGAGGAATGTTGACCCAACTGCCTTTTAAAATACAAAGCAAAAAGAGTTACCCCTTTTGTTCAAGAATACCTATAAATTTGTTCTCATAAACACACCCACAAAAAATACATCAGCACTCACAACAATACTTACACAGTCAGGTAGATACTCTTATTTTTTATTTTTTTCAGATGGAGTCTCATTCTGTTGCCCAGGCCGGAGTGCAGTGGCAGGATCTTGGCTCACTGCAATCTCTGCTTGCTGGGTTCAAGCAATTCTCCAGCCTCAGCCTCCTGAGTAGCTGGGATTACAGCCGACCGCCATCACGCCCAGCTCATTTTTGTATTTTTAGTAGAGATGGGGTTTCACCATGTTGGCCAGGATAGTCTGGAACTCCTGATCACAGGTGATCCGCCTGCCTTGACCTCCCAAAGTGCTGGGATTACAGGCGTCAGCCAGCCACCGTGCCAGGCCCAGATACATTCTCTTAAGCTGCCATTTTTATACAAGATAAGCAAAATTACATCCAGGTAATCTACCCAAAGACAACTTATTTTTGTCTACCACTAAAATCATTTTTCTTAAGCTCTTCTTGTTTGTTTATGCATGAATTCGAATCCATTAAAATCTATTAATTATGTTAAATTATGATTACACTTCAAATACTTCTGACTGATTCTCAAATATGACACTTTCTGGAAATTACATTCCATTTATGTTCAGACTGGCATAAGTTTCATGGGGCATATTCTTTTCTACATATCAATATTTCTTCTTTCTCTATCACATGCTGGTGAAGGTGGGACATGTGTCATCCATCATGGCAAGTCACAGAAGTAAGGAAAGGTGTAAATACGGTGTAAATATTCAGTTGTTAATTACATAGTTTGGATTTTTAATGAACATTTTTTCTAGTTATTTGAATATATTTTCTAATGTAAATTTTATGGTTTTTTAAAGTTAGATTAAATAGAAAAGGAAGTACCTGTCTAATTTTCTAAAGATCCTTTGTGTCTCAGTATTAACCAAAAATATATGGATAATTTGTGCATTATCAGAATGTTTAAAATAAACACTCTGGCTTTTCATTGTCATTGTTTTGTTAATTCTTCTTAATGAGATCACTGTGCCCCATTTTCTGGCTCATATTTCCCTGCAGATTTCTCACTGATCTGGCTCATCCCATGAGGAGGCATCACGTGCTCTTCACCCCCACCACTTCCGCAGCTTGACCATCTGAGTTTTGTACGTAAAATTTCCTGGGACACTACTTGCTTTAATGCGGAGCCTGTTGGGTTTTCTGCATTAAATTGCTTTCTAAATTTATAGGGAAGTATTATATTTACTGTTATATAATATATTTTAAGATCTTTAAAGCAAACTTTTATTATATGACAATTAATAAAATTAATAATGCCTTTTGTTTTAGACACATTCTGGGCCTAAAATTCAAGGATGACTTTCAAATGGAAAAATAATATCAGTGAGAAAAAACCATTCCCCAAGTCTCTATGGAGGCTTCTGTGTTTAAATGATTTAATGTAACTGCGGAGTGGCCATATCTGGGCCTCTTCTCCGAGATCTCCATAAACTCTCTTTCCTGATACCATAAATTCAGAAAGAAAAAATGTTATGTTAGAAGCTAGAAAATCATACTTTTACTTTATTTAACTGAGGCTTTAAGAAAAACTTAAACATACAAACTAGCACTTGCTTATGGTAAATTTTTGACTACTGAAAGTTGTTGCCTTAAGTGAGAAAAAGTGATGCCATGACTAAATAGGAAAACAAGAGTAAGTGTGCATGAATTCAAATATTTTATCTATATTCAGAAAGTTACAAAAATGGAAAAAATATTTCTATAATCACCAGCTGAGATCACAGGGTAATATGTTTATAATACATAGTGATAATAAACCTCTCATGGTTTGGGTGTTTGACAACATATAGAGAGTCACCCTATCATTTTGAGTAAAAATAATCACAAATATTACAGAGCAACTAGAATTAACAAGAGGAATTTTTCTTATTCTTTCCTTTCATAATGTTTCAACAATTTTTTTCTAAGGTTGTAGTTTAAACATAATAATGGCTGTTAAAATATCCAGCATTTGATGACACGAACAAAATCAGAACTTTCAATTAAGGAGCATCCTTAAGTGAGAGATTTACCTAAAAAATTATTTATATGATGTTAAAACCCTGTATTTTGCAAGAAAGACACAAACAATGTAAGTGAATTTCTAACGTTCCAACAACTAATGAGTATCATTAGTTAAATCATTAGATAAATTATTCTTAATGGTTAGATCTAGTTGAAAATTAACTAGATAAATTCAATATCTTGGGCCATCACTAGGTTTTGTCATCTTAAAATGATCTCTAACTCTGTTAGAGTATGAAATGAGTATCAAAACCAGAGTACACGTTTCCTAAATAGTTTTCCAAATCCCAGACCCATGCTCCTTTCATGCTGCACACTCCTGTCATATACTTGTTTCAAAAGATCAATTTCAGATGGACACATACATTTCAAGTGCGCATTTATTGCATTGAAGTGGATCTGTGAGGTATGTTTGTATTTTTTTGTCCACTACTGTGAACTCAACAGGAAACAAGAAGCATCAGCTAACACAGTACCTAATTTTAGACAGATGTGAAATGATGCTGAATTGGTGAATGAATGCATCACAAACCTTGTGTCTGTTTTTGAATAGTCTTCATTGAAATAATTCATTATCATGTATATGTATATACAGAAACATCTTTTTTGTGTTTTCATTCTTTCATCGATGAGAGAAAATGAACATTAAGCAGTCAAATAATAGATCCAGAATATAAACAGGTAGTAATAATTCAGTTTCTAATATTTTGTTTAAAAATGAGCTACTCAAGCTCAAGGAGATATCCCTAAACTGAGGATGGCTTGAAAAATCACAACTTTACATAAAATTTTAAATCATCCACACAAATGAGATCATATTGCTGTTTACATTGTCAGGTGTCTTAACTCATGTCACCGATAAGTAGAAAATGGGTATAAGTGCTGGCACTGACTAAGTCAATAAAAATGAACTTATGTGAATTACTTAAATATTGTAAGATATGAAAACATTTTATAATTACCCAGACTTTAAATATTTGTGTGTTTCATTTAAAGGTCATATGTGTATTGCTATGTTTTTGCACAGAGCTGGGAACACATGAGTGGACACGGTTTTAAAATAGTTCAGTATCTTTCATTCAGAAATTAGACACACTAATGACTTTCAAGTGTGACTATGGAATAATTATTTGTTTTATAACTGCAGTGCTCCTTTCACTCATTTATGAATTGCTTTTTTTTTATGCTCCTGAATTTTAAATTTTTTGCTAGAAGCCTGGATTCTCATTGAGCACTCATCAAGGAAGTGTCCTGATGCAATGTTCTTCTTTTTCATATATACCCACAAACGAAGATTTCGTAGAAAAGAAGCCTATAGAAATAAAAGGCATTATGTGTGTTTATTATGAGAAGTAGAAAAAGGACAAACGTGGAGGGCATATTTGAGGAGTCTAATTTGTCCATAGGCAATACAACCATGTCTGTTCTGGCTGACAAACTCAACTATTCATTTGTTCAAGAGCAAAAGAGTCTAATTGTTTTAAGGACACTTAGCAATTCGTGGGGCCATTGTCCTTCAGCAGTTTATTCTAAGATCGATATTTGTAGCAGAGTCAGAGCTTGGGAAGTGACTCTGTTAATAAATAGATAAAGCCCACAAGCAATGACTGTGAAGATAATAAGGAAGGAGATGTGTTTCTTCCACAAACGTCAGTTGCATCATTTCTGAAAGCTATCAAGGATAACAATGAAAATAAGCACTAAAATTATTTATCTTCAACTATTAAATATATTAAATATATTCTTTTATTCTTCTCTTTTTTTTTGAGGCAGAGTCTTGCTCTGTCACCTAGGCTGGAGTGCAGTGGTGTGATCTTGGCTCACTGCAACCTCTCCGCCTCCCGGGTTCAAGTGATTCTCCTGCCTCAGCCTCCCGAGTAGCTGGGATTACAGGCTTGTGCCACCAGGCCCAGCTTATTTTTGTGTTTTAAGTAGAGATGGGGTTTCTCCATGTTGGTCAGGCTGGTCTCAAACTCCCGACCTCAGATGATCCACCTGCCTCAGCCTCCCAAAATGCTGGGATTACAGGCATGAGCCACCATGCCTGGCCTTTTTATTCTATTTTCTGTAGTTTTATAATTGTTTGAATTGGTATATATTGGGAAACTGTCACTTTTAAAACTAAACTTTTTGCTTCACTACATAAGAGTATTCAATAAATGTTATCATTGTCAACCATTTTTAAATTTTTCGTAAGTTTTTGAAAGCATCATTATTTTCAACTTCCTTTAAAATTATGTTGCACAAACATGCAAACTCAGGGATTTCTCCACCAAAATTTTGTTAGTAAAATTATTCTTAATGGTTAGATCTAGTTGAAAATTAACTAGATAAATTCAATATCTTGGGCCATCACTAGGTTTTGTCATCTTAAAATGATCTCTAACTCTGTGTTTCAAGTATTTTAGGTAGATTTATTTCTAAGAAAACTTTTTACAAGTAATGGCACTTATTAGAAAATAAATTTAGATAATTTGAAAGACAATATGTGGAAAAAATACTTTAAATGTTATTTTTCTGTCAGAAATAGAGTGTTTAAGCCAAATAGTTGGAAAGGGACAAACAATATTTTTTTATTTGAAATAATAAATAAATAATTCAGTAAGTTTTTAAAAGAGACTTTTTTATGGGAAAGCAAAGACAGATTTTATTCTTCTGTTATTAGGACAGATAAATGTATCTTTTCCTATATTATTGAATTTAAGTCATTTCAACTTATTGTAGCAGCACAAGCTGCAGACAAAACCCCTCAGACACAGAGTTAAAGAGGGAAGGGCTTTATTCAGCTGGGAGCTTCGGCAAGACTCACGTCTCCAACAACTGAGCTCCCCAAGTGAGCAATTCCTGTCCCTTTTAAGGGCTCACAACTCTAAGGGGGTCCGTGTGAGAGGGTCGTGATTATTTGAGCAAGCAGCGGGTACATGACTGGGGGCTGCATGCACCGTTAATCAGATTGGAACAGAACAGGACAGGGATTTTCACAGTGCTTTTCTGTACAATGTCTGTGATCTATAGATAACATAACTGATTAGGTCGGGGTCGATCTTTAACTACCAGGCCTAGGGCACGGCACCAGGCTGTCTGCCTGTGGATTTCATTTCTGCCTTTTAGTTTTTACTTCTTCTTTGTTTAGAGGCAGAAATTGAGCATAAGACAATATGAGGGGTAGTCTTCTCCCTTATTATCAGTTAATTTTTACTTACAGGATACTTTGGCAACATTAATTCACAGACTGTAAAATAGTTTAGTTCAGGTTGTAGTTCAATTACAAAAGCCAAACCTTTCGAACACAAAATAATTCAAACACGCTACATTTTTTTTCTTAGAAAAAAAATGGTATTTGTTTTCTAAAACAAATCAACCAAAAACATACATACACACAAACACACATACCCACAAACAGGCAAAACAATACAACCAAGACAGTTTTCCTGAATTTTATATAAGTTAAAATTACTTTTTAACCATGAAGCTTGTAACTTCAATGAGAAGTTTCAGCAGGAGGAAATCAAAAGTGTTTTGAAGGAATCCCTTATCAATCACCATTGCAGAAGAAGTCAAGTAAGAAATTAAAATATGTATTATATATGCATCCAAGTAATAAAGAGAAAAAATTAAGCGTTCCAAAAACATGTTTGAGAAAAGACAGACAAATCTGTTTTTAAGGTTATATTTTCAATTCTTACTGGTCATTGTACTTGCTAATTTCATTCTCTCTTTTCTGTTGAAGCATGAAAATTCAAGAAGTTAGACTGCATAAAAATGATGAAAAATTTTCATTTTCAACTGCTTTCTACTGAGTTGTTTTTTCATCCATGTTGCAACTTTTTATGGGTCTTTGATCCAGCCCAATGGCTGTCAAAATGATTGATGAAGCTGATGCTTAAAACGTTCAGAAACATGGATTTCTGGGTATTTGCACAAAAAGGCAGTGAAAAGTTCTGTGAAAGTTATTGGTCAATGTTCTTATGGGTCAAGAGGCATGTATTACTAAACAAAGTACTTTTAGCAGAAAACATTCACTTCTAAATTGGTGATACCTTGACTGTTTGATGATAAGTTGTAGTTGACTCATTTTCACAAACTCAGTCCACAGATACTTAAAGATCACACAATCAAGCGCTTACTTAGGACAAGTGTTTAACTCTACCATCTGTGTGCTCCATAATTGGCTGAGAAGTAGGTGTAAATCCATATAACTCTCAGTTACTCCTAAAAACGTACCAGTTGTATTCTTGTGTAAATTTCCCTTTCTTTTGTGTGTATTACTTATGTATACAGAGACAATACTGATTTTTTTTCTAACAACTTGTTCATATTCAACTTTGTGTAAAAACAAAAATCAACTATAGAGTTAATCAGGCGAGTATTCAATCCTTTATGCTTCCATTTACCAAAGTAGTCTCTATTTTTTCACCTATGGAATGTTAGTTATATGTATTTCCCACAGTTGCTATGGGCATTTCAAGGCATTAAATCATCATGCAGATAGTAGGGGTTAAACAAATATTTAATTTTCATCCTCTGAGTTTTTTTCAAATCAAGAAATTGTAAGTTTGATGAAAAACACAAATAGATGAAAATAGCTATTATTCAATGCAGATTGCCAAAAATACTTGTAATCTTAAAAGAATAGCTCTCCTATTAATTACTCAAATTGTTGACATTTACCTAGTACACAGAAAAGAATTGGAAGGCTCAGAATCAAAGAAAAAATTTTTAATAAAGGAGAAGTAATTAAAACAGATTCACAATGTTGTAAATGATAAATCTAATAAATATAAATGGATATTAAATAATTATACACACATGTTCACTTTATTGAAATCTACCGGGTTGAATTTCTCATTTAATTATTAAGGAAATGTCATAATAATGTAAAATTAAGAAACTTTAAAATCTATAAACATATGTTTTTTGTGCTTTTTCTATGAGACAACAAATATGTTTAGATGATTTTACATATTTGATCTGATAATCACTAGAATGTAAGCTCTTGGAGACCAGAGGTTTTTTTCTGTTCTTAATGTATCCAAAACACATAGAACAGTTTCAAACATAGAAGAAGGATTTTAGAAAATAGTTATTAAATGAATGAATAAGCGAATGAATCAATGAACAGTTCAGATAATACGCAATAATAATCTGAACTTTGCCAACCCATTAAAACAAGAATGGATGTCAACCCTACAAATGTATATATTATTAATCATTTTTCACATATATAAGAAGAATCACAATTAAATTCCCAAACTCATAAAGCTTGTAAGTGGTACAGTCAAATATAGATTCCTAGGTCATTTGACTTTAGCTTTAAGCTTACAGTGGAAGTTTTGGTGCACAAGATTTCAGATAAATGTAATGTAATTGTTTTAGGGAATAAACTCTTCATTTTTAGCATTTATACAAAATATTTACACAAACATTGCTAATGAAGTTATCTTAGAAAAAATTAGAAAATATAGTCATAGGTATAATAGTAAAAAACTATTTTGTCTAAATTTATTAACACAGTATTATGCATAATATCCCACTATAGGGAACATTATTTAAATAAAAATGAGGACATTATTTACTGTTAGGGTCAAAATCTGCTTAGAAATACTAATGACAAAAATCTCCTTTTTTTACTTTTTTAAATAAAAGTTTATTACTTTTACATACTTAACCAGAAATTAATTTTAAATTCCTTACATTATTTGTACTTTCTAAGCTTTAAAATACATATTTTCTTTCATGATAATAATAATGCATTTTACTTTACTTTGAGATCTGTGACAGGAAGAAAAGTGTGAGAAGAATGTAATGGGCTAAACTTTCTCACTTTTATTTGACGATGAGTCTTTTCTGGTCATTCACAATTGTCAATAAAAATACATAAATAATAATAAGAAACTTGGCAAATCAGTGATTATGACAGTTTGGTCTTTTTTTAGAATAAGTTTGAATTCCTAAGGAAATAAATCATTTTTAACTTGAATTATGTATTTCTTAATTATATTACTCTGTAGTCCATGTTTTAGATGTTTTTGGGGTTAACTCTCTGAACTTCTGTAAATGTTCCATGAATTTTTGATATGACCACATGCTCTGGGATTTTTTGCATATTATAAGTCTCTATACATATTTCAGTCAGTCATATGAGGTTGTATGATAGGGCAAACATGTTAATCTTACTTTCATCATTTAGTTTTAATATTTCTACTTCTGTTTTAAAAATTTTTGAACATCTGCTATATGCACTTTGATATTTTACCCTCTATTATTTGGAATAAATTATTAATGTTAGTGTAGAATATTTTTAACCTTATTTTCTTTAATATTCAATAACTAGAATTAAATATCATTATGCACATCTTCATGCAAGATGATGTGCTTATCTTACTTTTATATCTTCCCTCATTCTCCACATATTTCTCAATTTCAGGTGCCAGAATATAGATTCATATAGTTAAGTTTAAGTAAGCAGGGCATGGTGGCTCATGCCTGTAATCCCAGCAATTTGAGAGGCTGAGGCAGGCGGATCGCTTGACGTCAGGAGTTGGAGACCAGCCTGGCCAACATGGTGAAACTCCGTCTCTACTAAAAATAAAAAAATTAGTCGGGCGTGGTGGCGGGTGCCTGTAATCTCAGCTACTAAGTAGGCTGAGGCAGGAGAATCGCTTGAACCCAGGAAGAGGAGGTTGCAGTGAGCCAAGATCTGAGATTGCGCCAGTGCACCCCAACCTGGGGAACAGAGCGAGACTCCGTCTAAAAAAAAAATCATATAATTAAGTTTCATATATGATTTATAAAATATTATATCTCTTGTTCTGTGTTTACTAGTACATTCCCTAATCTCATAAAGTGCATTCATTTATGATTACCTCTACTTTCTTATCTTTTTCTCCTTGTGGCTTCCTTTCTCTCTTTCTTATTCTCTTTCTTTTTCTTTCTTTCTTTTCTTTCTTTCTTTCTCTCTCTCTTTCTTCCTTTCTTTCTTTCTTTTCTCCTTCCTTCCTTCTGTAAATACTCTTGCTCTCTTTCTCGATTTCTTCCTCCCTCCCTTTCTTCCCTCCCACCCTCCCTTCCTTCCTTCTCTCCTTCCTTCCCTCCTTCCTTTGTTCCTTCCTTCCTTCCTTCCTTCCCTCCTTCCTTCCTTTGTTCCTTCCTTCCTTCCTTCTTTCCCTCCTTCCTTCCTTTGTTCCTTCCTTCCTTCCCTCCTTCCTTCCTTTGTTCCTTCCTTCCTTCCTCCCTCTCTTCCTTCCTTCTTTCCCTCCTTCTTTCCTTCGTTCCTTCCTTCCTTCCTTTGTTCCCTCATTCCTTCCTTTGTTTCTTCCTTCCTTCCTTCTTTCCCTCCTTCCTTCCTTTGTTCCTTCCTTCCTTCAATTTTTTCTTTTTTTCCTCGATTCCTTCCTTCCTTCCTTCATTCCTTCCTTCCTTCTTTCTTCCCTCCCTCCCCTTTCTCTCTCTCTCTTTCTTTCTTTCTTCTTTCATGCACATTACTGATCTTTTATATGTTCCTACTCATGAGTAATATTTTCAACTATTCATTTGGTTTGCTGAAATAAATATAATCAAATGAATTGTTGTCAATACCCTGGTGTGTCTCTTTTCTATGCATATATCTTTATTTTTCAAGTTCCACTTTCTGCATACATCTGACAAATATGGTTTGTTTTATTACCTTGCTTTTTAAATTTTTGTTTATGGTTTTTTTGATATAAAGAAAATAAGGGATAATATTTTAGAATGAATTTTTAATAGTCTTTTTAATGAAAAAGAATAATTCCATACTCAACTTGTTCCTTAATGTATTTTGAAATTTTATAATTAATGAAATAGCATGCAGTAATATTAATAAATTAATGAAGTATTAGCCCAACTTTATAGCATTTTAAATATAAAGTTGAAAAAATGTTCCTTTCCTATATCTTATGTTGTATATAAGCTCTGTCCTTTACTTTTTATCTCTCTTCTTTTTTAATTCAGCAAGTGCAAAGAGAGTTCAAAATATATTAGTGATTTTTAAATTCACATCTATACTGACATTCTTTCTTTGCTTTAGCCATTCTCTACTATCTTAACACTGATCAACGTATCACAGATATTTTTACTTAAATTTGCTTCGCTCATGTCATAATAAAGATTACTTCATAATCAAACTGAACTTTTGTCTTTTCATGCCAAACTGACTTCATCTTCTGGTTCTCCTACATACCTCTATATATACTGGCTGTAACGATTTCCAACTTTTGAAATCTGGGTTTATTTGCATGATCTGCCTAAACAGTCTGGTGTGTCTTTGTCACTTAAGATTATGTGTGCTCTTTCTGAACTTCTGAGTAAAAACATGTTCTCATTGTCAATTTTATAAAATCAAAGCAATAATAAATTTGTTAGCCTCCTCTTTCCTACTCCTATCACATTCAAACTTCTTTCCTGTAATAATTTTTAAATGTCTGTATAGTAATGTAAGTTCTGAAAGGCAAGGGGAGTACCTACCCTGCTGACCACCCAAAATATATCACAATACTTTTAAGGCACCAGAAACTGAATAATATTCGGGAAATATTAAAAAAAACTGAAAAGCCTGTTTTGTGCTTTTTAATATCTTTTTAAACATTAATAAATATTGTCTATAAATATTCCCTCTCTATAGGAATTAAGATATAATAAGGGAGCTTTAAAAATACAACACATATTACATAATTTTAGTATTTAGTACTTCCAGTAGTTTTTCGCTTTTTTATGCATCAAAGATAAGATTTTTTTTATTTTTACTAAGACAGTTTACATATATAAATTGAATTTCAGGTTAAATCATGTAACATTTTTTTCTGGATATCCAATACTCAGTGCTTGAGGATTGTGACCTGTCCTTTTGTACTTAAGATAATGGTTGAGTTTTGGAATCGGTCAGACTTTGAAAATGAGTCTGTCCCCAGGTCACCAAGGAGTATGTGACCTTCTGCCAACTTTTCATTTTGGTCAAAGTCTGTGTGACCTTTCAGGGACTTTCTCTCTACAAATCCATGCAACACTTAGGCAAAGCTTAACATTTAAGGAAAATATGATATTAAATATATAGAAATGTTCAGCCTGGGCAACATGGCAAAACCCTGTCTCCACAAAAAAATACAAAAATTAGCCGGATGTGGTGCAACTATGGTCCCAGCTACTCAGCAGGCTGAGGTGGGAGGATTGCTTGAGCCTGGAAGGCTGAGGTTTCAGTGAGCTGGGATTGTGCTCCAGCCTGGGTGACAGAGTGAAGCCCTCTCTTAAAAAAAATAAAAAAGAAGAAAAGATGTATATAGAAATGTCACATTGTTCAACTGAAGGATACGTGGGTGAATAGATAAAAGGAAGTTATGTGATAGTAACAGGCAGGCCAGTTATTCACTTGGGTGACTCCTCTAACAAATTCTAAATATTGAATTACGTGGAACATACAGCTCATCCCAAAGTGCTTTTTTTCCCTTACTTAATAATAGTTCAATAATATAGAGTAAAATAGAATAAAAATCTGATAATTATAAGATAACTATAGTTGATGAATTCCAGTTATCATAATCAACTTGTTTAAAGGTACTCTGTCAACATAAACTTCCTATATACACATAGTAGGCAACAACTTGACCAAAATTTGGTGGAAACATTAGGTTCCAACTCACTAAAGCTCACACATGTGCATGTGGACATGCAAGTGTGTGTGGGGGGGAGGGGGGATGTGGGTATGTGTGTGTATGTTCCGTAAAAGAATCATAGAATGGCGTTGACTTAGAATAAGTATATGGAGACAAATGAGAAAACTAAATTAAATTCAATATTCATTTCTCACAACTTTGTGAGTAATTTATTTTCCTTTGTTTAAACATAGGTGGCATGACTTTTCTTAGTAAATCAGTAGTAATTAATTATGTTCATACATGCCTCTAAGAAAGGCTAGAAACTTAAACATCTTAAAACAATTCAAAATTTGAAGTAAATAAACACATTTACTATATAATAGTTTTGCATTTCTGATCTTATATGAAATAGTGTAAGTACATGGAATTGTACCAGTTTATAGGAATACTAAAATCATAAGAAGTTAAAAATATATACATAATATTACCACTAATAAGTTAGTTACTGTGGGTAGCATTTGATTTAGTGTTTAAATATTTTTGGTTGAGTTACTTAGATCAGCAGCTAAATCGAAGTTAAAAGAAGTGTGCGAGAAGCAAGACATTAATATTTGGTGACATTTATTTCAATTTATGTGAAAAAAATTAGAAAATAATGATCTGAGGTTTACTAGTTAATTGGCATGCATTAGACATATTAAAATAACCTTTCATGACTAAAATTTTAATGTTGGCTTCTAGCATTGAACGTGTACCTAACAATAAAATCAATATTTCAACAGGTTTGCCACCGGTATGCAGAAAACCTTAATGGAATAAGTGAGCTGTTAGTTTCCCTTATAGAACAGGGATATTTTAGGTAGGGCTATGAAAAGATTTTGTCCTGTCTAGATATAGAAACAAGCATAAGCAAAGTCCCACAAATGGACTTTTTATTATTTATTTCAATAATGTCTCCCTTTGTCTGCCCTTTATCCTACTGCTATTTAGACTACCTTCCTGTTGGTCACCTTCCATCTTACATTATTTTTTGTTTGGAAATTTGCCTCAGTCTCCCATAAAAAAACTCAACAATTGTTTTTACATTTTAATTATTTCAACATGCCAGATTAATCTGTCCCAAATATTCATGATGTGTATCCATGCATCCATTCAATCAGTCTATTGAACATCTACCATTTGCCAGGAATTATGCTGAGTTCTGGAGGCTTAAATGCAAATAAAATTTATTAACTGCAAAAAGGTCAATGACTCAAATGAGTGCTGTGGGTATAAATTGAGAATTAAAACACAGTGCAAGTTAGAGATATAGCTACAGAGAATTACAATATGACACAGTTGTATTCACATTAACTACACTCTTGGTATGACTTCTGATATTGCTCCTAATTTATAGAAAGATACAGTTTATTTTCTAAAAGCTCATTATAAATAAAATTATGATAAAACCCATCTTATATTCTCTTAGAAATAATGGTTCAATTGGGAGCTTATTCAGAAATAGTAAGGCCCTGACAAGAATATAAATATAATCAACAACATATCATAAAGCTAATTTGAATGCTTAAAACCAGTCAGGATTTTGTAAAGATACATCCATGTGGAACATGAGCTTGTGTCTACTGGTGTATGTGTGTTCACATGCACACTCACAAAGTTGTTTTAATGCTTCAAATAAATGTTTGGAAAAATCTTTAAAAATTGCATAAAATGCAGAGTACAAATTTCTGACTGTTAGTAAATTATCTTTTATGCAGACAAAGACATCAGAATTAAAAATAAATAAATATTAGAGCAGTTAAGATGCCATATAGCAGGTAAAAAACCCAAACCTAAAATGAAACTCCTGTCTGGGAGAAAAGTAATTTAGCCTCATGAGCACTTACACCTCAGAGGGTCAGGCATATGAGCAATTAAAATTAAACAAGTTGATTTTAATATGCCTTAGTAACTGTGATTGATCTTATAGAGCCTATGTTGACTATGTATCAAGGAACAATTTAGGATCTAGTTTAAAACAAAGTTTATAATCCTTGTTTAATGGATTTTTGTTACCTCAGGCAATACAGTGCATAAAAATGATTAAAAAGTTCCCTCTCTGTGTGTAATCAATAAAACCGTTCTCTAAATGAGGATCCAAAGACTCCTCAGCAGGCTTGGCAGTGCTGCATCTGTAGAATTCCAAATAAGCCATCTATCATTATTCCCATACACAAGTTCATTAGAAACCTCATCCCCATCTTATTAGCATTAAGGTCAGCTAAACAGTCAAATCAAAAGGTCACTTCTTAAAAATATGTAGTTATACCAAAACATAAATAAAAACCTCAACAGAAATACACTGAAATGCAGTGTTAACAAAGAGATTAGAAAATATACATACATGTGTAAGGTGACAAACACAACATTCTACAGTGATAAATTTTAAAGAGGAGTTTGAATCAAATACTAAAAACAAATATAAAAAAATCTCAATTAGCTGTATTACTTAAAGGCATTAATCCCTATTTATTATGAAATAAATACATATAAAATAAATAAATTATAACATCTGGATTTTTAAATACAAGAATAGATTAAATTATGACTTTGAAATTAAATTTTAATTCATTTTGGGATTTCAGGAATCACTCCTATATATATTTACAAATATCATGAAAATTTCCGAATTCATTTAAGCTTTAAAAACTTTTAAATCTTTTTTCACAAGTGTAAAAATATATGGTATAGTGAAGGTCAAATACCTAGATTTATATATGTTTTTGTATGAAAACTTTCTCATTGAGTCCATTTTATGATTTGTATAGCAAAGGTGATATGGAATTAAACTTTCATACACTGATTTTTCATAAAATTGCTACATTTTGATGAATTTCTATTTTTAGTGAACCTGAGGAAAAATACAAATATAATCTATAAATATGGTAATTATAACACTCACTGTCCCACATGAAAATAAATATCTAAATTGTTACATTTGTAGATATTCATGATTCATCACTTAAATATTTTACTTGACTATAATTATAATTAATTAAGATTAACTTAGTGTTCATTTTAGTCAACTCAGGCTGCTGTAACAAATTAGCATAAATGAGTGGCTCAAACAACAGAAATTTACTTCTCACCATTCTGGAGTCTGGAAGTCCAAGAACAGGGTGCTAGCATGATGGAATTCTTGGTGAGTGCCTTTTTCCTGGTTTTGTCTTCACATGGTCCTTCCTTGGTACCTTCAGGCAGAAAAAGAAATTTCATATCTCTTCCTCTATTGATGAAGACATTTAATCCCATTATGGTATCTCCACAGTCAGCTCCTAACCTAACCCTCATTATCTCCCAAAAACCTTACCTCCAAATACCACCAAACTAGAGATTAGATTTTCAACATACAAATTTAGGGGAAGGCATAAACATTCAGTTCATGCAGTATTTAACAATTATTCCATTTAGTTTATGGTATATATATATGTGTGTGTATATATGGGTGTGGGTATAAGCTTATTAGTATCTAATATAATTTACTAAAGGTTTATCATAGATGTTTTATTCATAACTCTTAAAGAAAAATGAAGAGACTTATATCTTGTTGAATTACTCTAACTCTACTGAATGGTTTATCATTGCTATGCCTATGATAAATATAAATGATTTATTAAATACTCACTATTCTAATAGCTTTATGTGGACTATAACATTTAGCACTCACAACAACCCTGTATTAGCTTCTATTATTTTCTTCACTTTATAGATAAAAAATCTGAGGCACAGAGGATTATAAAAAATTTTCCCAAGGAAGCACAGCTAGTGAGTAGTCAAATGCAAGATGAAAATCTAATCATTTCCCCCCCAGTGTTTGTCATTTGTCTCATAATATTTTCCATGGTGAGATCTTAAACTACCTCACTATATCCTGAAATTTTCAAAAGGCATGCGTATATAAGCCAATAAGTCTCAGAATTTTTTTAATTGCTAGCAAGATTAATTGGGCAGGGTAAGGTGAACCAACATCATCACATCAGCTAGCTGATGTCTCTGGCCTGTAGCCTGTGTCACTACAGGCTGAAAACCATTTTTGTGACTGTGTCCTTCTTTCCACTTTTTTCTCCTTCATACCTCTATGGTTTCTAGAGTTTTCAAAACTCGATAGGTGCTGGAAGCCTTTCATTTTATATATGATCATAGTTTAATACAATAAAAGCAGAGAGCATGCCATTCACATTTATTCTTTTTCAATTACTAGCATAGAATAAAACTCACCATTAAAACTAAGTTGAGGAGAACATATTAAAAGTTTTAGTCTCTCTAACAATTGCAAAGTTTCGATGTGATTATATATAATATCAGCAATCATATTTCAAATTAAGTAAATCATATATCTCATTTCATACATAAAATGCATAAAAACGTTTTATTACAAATCCAAATATTATTTGATTCTTATTCTCCATTTATTTTATTTTTAGAGGAACAAGAAAATCAGTAATACTTTGAAATATAAAAGTAATGTAAATTATGGTAAATATGTGGGATTAGTGCTCTCATTTTTCATTGTGTCTTTTTGTGTGCCTACTTGTCCTGAAGAAGTAGTAACATTAAAAGTTACATATCTCTTAGCTTTTATTAGCAAATTGCTTTTTATTGAAGAGATACACTTGTGTGATATTTTTATGGTGGACTGGCATTCTATTTAATTATTTTCTGTCAGAAAATACAGTTGAGAAGATCTAAGGTTTTATTCAGTAACATCCCAGGGTCTAGTTCTGAGCAGGAGGGATAGGAGCCAACAATCTATTGTAATGCAAGCCTTGGAAGTCCCTTTTGTCCCCTCATCCACGTCAGGGTCAGAAACACCAGATCCTCCAGCAGGACATTGGAGTCATGGCACATTGGAGTCATTCTTTGAGATCCTACCAATAGCCAACTCCTGTATTAAACAAGTAATCCCTAACATCAAATCATTTTCAGTTTAAAATACCACAAGAAACCTGCAAGTAAGTCCTGAAGACACAAAATGATAAACAATGGTCCAAGGTTCATTCTATCATAGAAAAAAATAATTTTTCATCAAATAAATATATAAAATAGATTTAATAGTGTTTCTTTTGTTTTTTACTTCATATCTTTAATTCATGAAATAGATAAGAAAGAACATATTACTGGATTAAATTTTAAACATATTTTATAAGTAGTATTTTCAAAATAAAATTCATTTGGAATTAATTATTGCAGTGACTTGAACAATCTGAGAATATACCTGCTTAAATGGTTAGCTTTGTTAACCATCACAATTTCTTCTAACAAAATAAATGTATGTTCTCCAACTCACATTTCTTTCCAAGTTTTAGTACCACCTCATCCAAAAGGCAAGTACATCATATTGAGATTTGACAAATGACACATTACTATAAATCACAATGAATACATTTATGTCTCTTAATATACCACCAAGGATAAATACAATATGATATTGTTAGTATTTATATTCCATAGTAAATTTACATTTCCAGATATAATGACATACATTTAAAATTTATCCCTACTATTTTACAATTTTCTCATTTGCCAAATGACTGAATATCAAAATACCGCTAATACATTTACATCTGTATGGATAGATGTCTTTCCTTCTGGAGCATGCTTAGAAAGTTTATTAAAAATTTTATGGTGTTTCCCATAAAACAACCAACCATAACTATCTCGTATTGGGATTTACCATTTATGAACACAAAAACACAGGCTTTTATTAGCTGGCATTTGTGGGACTTTTTATTATAAACATCCCTTTAAAAAATATGGTAGAATATATGGATGCGTGAACACAAAAAAGTGAGGATGGTCTAATGACGGTCAAGAAGAATTCCTTTTTGTAATGAAGTGGAATCTTATTTTCCTCTCCTTTTTGTTCTTTCACCTTGATCCACTTGTTTTTCACCAACTTATAATGGTATAAAATGAAGAGGATATCATGAGCTGCTCCAAATAGTTTAATTTTCTGTTTACTTCACTGAAGACAAAAAAGCCAATGAACATTCATTTGGCTTGCATGAGGAGCAAGTAAGGCACCCGGGTCTCATGTCCATTTATAACACTATTTACCAGAACATTTTATCTCCTTAATTTCTAGTTTACTGGTAAAACAAAATTTCAGTAACCTTAGCAAATACTGAGTTGCCCTTCTTTACAAGCTTTGAAATTTACTATTTAATTTGTCTTTGCTCAAATGATATGTAGAAAATGATTAGAAATGTGCCATTGTCTAGACCTGAATGCATGACTTCTAAATATCACCAATGACCATATTATTATTGCGATTTATTCTCTACCATCATGCAATTCTAACTTCTAAATTGTGGGATAGAGAATTATCATGATGAGTTTACTTTTTTCAAACAATAAACCACTTTATATCTTAAAGGTGTAAAAAGTAAAGTAGAGGTTCCTCTTCAAAGACTTTCCTCCCCATCTAATTAGGAATAAATAGTAACTTCTCTTAGAAGCAAAATTTATTCAAAGACCTGTGCTAACATTCTTTAATATCTGTTAGCTTTAGTAAAGAAATCAGTATACTTTATCTTCTTAGCTCCCACAATTTAGCCTAAATATTTGCCCTGGCATGCTTATACTGCTCCAAGCAAGCATTAAGTCATTGTCTGTTCCTCTTCCTTATTTAAAAGTGTTTTTACCTTTCTCAGCGTTCCACAAGTTGCTTCCTCCTTCCTTTGTTCCTCTCTACCTTTGCCTCTTTTAAAAAGTTCTAAGTTTCTAGCCAATCGGGACAAATAGAGAATGTGAGGTTCCGTTCCAGCCAGTGGAAGCCAGACACGGCAGTACGGTGGACGCATCAGGTTAAACATGGCCCTGTCACCTTTGTTCGGTATATTCTCGTGGAAAAACTGCTGGTGAGTGTACCCTTTCTGCAGGAAGTAAAAATGGCCCTAATAAATAAATTAAATTTATGTTCAAGTGCTGTTTCTTTATGGCACCGAGGAGCAAACATTTCAAACAAAGGTATTCTTACTCCAGGTGGAATTAAATCAAAACACAGGATCCACATACTTGCAAAAGTCCAAAACTATTCCTGTTGCCCCCAAATCCCCATTTGAAATCTTAGTCATTTTAATCTTTCTACAGTTAACCTCATTGTCTCATGATAATTCTATTTAGAAAAACCACTTTATTTCTTTCTAGAACTTCAGATCAAACTTTCTCATTGCCATGTTTAGGATTAGTTTCACATGTTCTTGGTGTTATAGACTGAATGATCCTTCCAAATTCATGTTAAAACCATAATCCCCACTGTGATGGTATTAGGAGGTAGTGCTTTTGGGAGGTAATTAAGATTTGATGACTTCGTGAGGGCAGAGCCTCATGAACAAGATTAGTGCCCTTAGAAAAGTCATTACAAGAGAACTTGTTTCCCCTCTCTTCTCTCTACCATGTGAAGATACAGTGAGAAGTCGGCAGTCTGAAGCCTGGCAGAGGACCCTCACCAGAACTCAACCATGCTGGCCGCCTGATCTAAGGAATTCCAGAGACCAAAATTATGAGAAACAAATGTGTTATGTGTAAGCCACCTATCTATGGTAATATGTCACAGCAGTCTAAGACAAGTGAAATACATGCATTCATTCAGAAATAAAAATAGTGATAATGAAAACAAAAGTTATTATTTTAATCCCACTGATATGGTTTGAGTTTGTCTCCCCATCCAAATCTCATGTCAAATTGTAATCACTCGTGTTGGAGGTAGGGCTTGGTGGGAGCTGATTGGATCATGGGCACAGAGTTCTCTTGAAAGCGTTAGCATCATCCCTGAGGTGCTACTCTCTTGATAGTGAATGAGTGAGTTATCATAGGTGCTACTCTCTTGATAGTGAATGAGTGAATTATCATAGGTGCTACTCTCTTGATAGTGAATGAGTGAGTTATCATGAGATCTGGTTGTTTAAAAGTGTGTCGCACCTACCCTGTCTTCCTCCTGCTCTGGTCAAGTTCTGGCTTGCTTCTTCTTCATCTTTTATGATGATTGTAAGTTTCCTGAGGCTTCCTCAGAAGCAGAAGCTGTCATGCTTCCTGTACAGTCTGCACAACTGGGAGTCAATTAAACCTCTTTGCTTTATAAATTATTCAGTTTCAGGTATTCATTAAAGCAATGCGAGAACAAACTAATACACCCACTTAACATATCATTATGAAATATGCAGGAGTTGAAAAGTGTGGATGATGGAGGAGGTGGAGCAAGATGGCAGAATAGAAGTCTCCACAGATTGTCCCTCCTGCAAGGACACAAAGTTAACAACTATCTACAAACATACACACACACAAAAATCTACTTTATAAAAACCAAGAATCAAGTGAGCAATCGAAGTATCTGGTTTTGCATTCATATTGATGAAAGAGGCACTGAAGTGGTAGGAAAAATAGTCTTGAGTCACTGATGACACCCTTCCTCCAGTCCCCAGCGGTGGCAGTATGGTAGAGAGAGCAGTTCTGTGAGAGGTAAAGTGCAGCAATTGTGAGGCATTGAACATGTAGTGCTACCCTTTTATAGCAGAAAACAAAACCGGACCAAACATAGCTGACGCCCACCCATGGAGAAAGTATTTAAGCCAGCCCTAGCCAGAGGGGAATCACCCTTCCCAGTGGTCCGCACTTGAATTCCCACAAGCCTAACCACTGTGAACTAACATGGCTTTGGGCACCTAAATAAAATAGAAAGTCAGCCTTGGCCACAAGAACTGAAATTCCTAGGTGAGACCTAGTGCTGAACTAGGCCCAGAGCCAGGGAACGGGGGGGGCACATAACCTACTAAGATACCAGCCAGGATGACTAAGGGAATACTGGCATCACCTGTCTCCTAACCCAGATTAAAAAAAGCTTGTGACTCCAAAAGAGACCCCTTCCTTCCACTTAAGGAAGGAGGACTTTGTCTTGGATTTGGATACCAGCTCAGCCACAGCAGGATAGGACACTGGTCAGAGTCGTGAGTCCCCGTTTCCAAGCCTTAGCTCCCAGATAACTCTTCTAGAAACACCCTGATCCAAAAAGGCAGCCTTGGCGTTGAAAAGAAGGACCCAGTCCTGGCAGGATTTGTCAACGGCTAACTGAAGAAACTTTGGGCCATGAATAACCAACAATGATAGCAAGGTTCTATTTCAAGGGCCTTGGGTGAGTTTCTGAGACTTTCTGGCCTCAGGTGGGACTCAGAGGAGTCCTAGCTATGGTAGCTATAGGGTGAGACTCCTCCCACTTTAGAAATGAAAAGGGAAGAGTAAAGATTTTTATCTTACCTTTTAGTTACCAGCTCATCCACAGAGGAGTAGAACACCAAGGAGGCTCTTGGGTTGGCTCTTAGACAGCATTTCCGGACCTGCCCTGGACCACAGTGGAGTCTGTTGCCCTGAATGGTGAGTACCAGCACAGGCAGCATTAAATACAAATTGACTGAAGAGACCTTGGGCCTTAAAGGAACAATGACAGTCATCTGTCAGGACTGTCTGTGGGCTGTGATGGTGGTGACCATGTGCTGAGACTCCTCTGCCTTTGGAAAGGAGAGGGATGAATGTGAAGCACTATGTCTCATGGTTTGAGTGTCAGCTCAGCCACAGTACAATAGAACACCATGAAGATGTCTAAGGACCTGGGGAATCCTGTCGCCTTGAAGGGAAGGACACAAGCTGGGTTGGCTTCGCCATTGGCTGACTGTAGAGCTTCAGGGCCTAGAATGAACATAAGGAGTAGCCATTGAGTGATTACAGCAGGCCTTGGGTGAGAACCAGTGCTGTACTGGCTTCAGGTATGATCTAGCACATTCCTAGTGGTGGTAGTCACAGAGGTGCTTGTGTCACTCCACCACCAGCTCTAAGTGTCTCATAACAAAGAGAGACTTCATTTGTTTGGTAGAAACTGAAGAAAGAGAATAAGAATCTCTGCCTGTGAATCCAGAGAATTCTCCTGGATTTTGTCTAAGACCATCAAGGAAATGCCCCTGTGGATCTTCAAAAACCACAGTGTTACTGTGGTTGGGTAACCCCTAATGCAGATACAGCTCAGAGCACAACACTCAAGTACTTCGAATATATGGAAGGATTTCCCAACAAGGATAGGTACAAACAAGCCCAGACTGAGAAGACTACAATAAATACCCAACTCTACAATGCCCAGAAACAGACAAATATTTATAAGTATCAAGACCACCCAGGAAAACATGACCTCAATAAATGAACTAACTTAAGCACCAGGAATCAATCCTGGAGAAACAGAAATATCTGACCTTTCAGACAGAGAATTCAAAATAGCTGTTTTGAGGAAACTCAAGAAATTTAGGACAACACAGAGAAGGAATTTAGAATTATATCAGACAAATATAACAAAAAGATTAAAATAATTTACAAGAATGAAGCAGAAATTCTGAAGCTAAAAAATGCTATTGGCATACTGAAGAATGCATCATAGTCTTTTAACAGTCGCTTAACAGAATTGATCAAGTAGAAAAAAAGAATTAGTGAGCTTGAAGACAGGTGATTTGAAAATAGAGGAGACAAAAGAGAAAACAATGAAAAACAATGAAGCACACTTACAGGATATAGAAAGTAGCCTCAAAATGGCAAATCTAAGGGTTATTGTCCTTAAAGTGGAGGTAGGAAAAGAGATAGGGGTAGACAGTTTATTCAAAAGGATAATAACAGATAATTTTTCCCAAACCTAGATAAATTATGGGTATGGACCTTTAAGAAATACACATTCTTCCTTGTAACTCCCAAGGACATCTGGAGGAATAACAGAGAAGTTCATATGGCATTCCTCTGACTATCTGGATAGAGGTAGCATTCTCTGAGTGTCCTTAAAAATTCTGAGGACATTCAGCATGATGAGTAGACAGCTTCAAAGATAACAAATACTATTGACAATCTTCAAAGGTGGAACATTCTGTGATCCAAATGATGTTTATTCAGTTACTGCCCAGAGTTCTGAAATCCCTCCCCAATTGCTATCTTAATCTAATCCATTCACATTACTTTATATAAAAATAGATTCAAACTTGCTGGAAATGCTACTGATTTGACAGTCAAGAAAATGCTATTCATGTATAAGGAAAGCAAAATATGTGCCTAATTCTGACAACCTTGAATTGTCTTTGACTTTCTAGTTATAGATGATCACATCTCAATTTTAGTCCTTGACACAACATGGTGGTGCTAGTATAAAGAGTGTGTTGGGGAAGGACTAAGCTAGAGCCAGAGTGACGCCTTGGGAAGCTGCCCCTATCAACCAGTAGAAGAAAAATAAAGGCCTAAACCAAAGCAAAAGTAATGGATTGGCCGAAACTGGAAGTGGGGAGGTATATAAACATAATAAGCAGAATAGACAATTTGGAGACTCAGTAGATCTGGGTTGAAAAGAAAGTGGCATTTAACGTGGTTCCCAGATACCAAACTTAGAATAGAGATGAATTATGGTGCTATCCAAGATACAGGGAGAAATATACAGTTAGTAGATACAATGTATCCTTGTGGCTAGGTAAAGATTTCATTTTTTTTTTTTTTTTTTTTTTTTTTTTTTTGGAGACAGAGCCCTTGCTTTGTCACCTAGGCTGGAGTGCAGTGGCATGATCTCAGCTCACTGCAACCTCCACCTCCTGGGTTCAAGAGATTCTCCTGCTTCAGCCTCCCGAATAGCTGGGACTACAGGCTTACACCATTATGACCACCTAATTTTTGTATTTTTAGTAGAGATGGGGTTTCACCATGTAGGGCAGGCTCGTCTTGAACTCCTGATCCACCCATCTTGGCCTTCCAAAGTGCTGGGCTTACAGGTGTGATCCACCATGCCCGGCCACCTTAAGCTATATATATATATATATATCCTTAAATATACAACTATATATGCATCCTGGAAAAGCAACGTTGTGTAGTGGTTAAGACTACTGAGTGGTAGCCAGTCTATGTGGGTTCATGCCTCAGGTCTTCAACTTTATCAGTATTTATTTGCAGGGAGAAAAACCTTGGGAAAATTACTCTCCCTTCTCAGTTCCTTTAAATATAAAATAAGAACATATGACATACTTATTTCATGAGAACTAAATTAGTTAATTTTACTTTATAATTATTTTTAGAACTTAGCAAATGATAATTTAATGTTTATTAAATAATTAATAAAACTAGTTTCAAATATTTCTAAAAACTCCACATATTTCATTGTAAATAGGGCATTAAAATTATAGGGTAAAACTGTAAAAATCTCTAATACTCTGTATGATTTGTTTCCCAGGTTTCTTTCGTGTAAGGAAGTGATTACTATATTAAAGAGTGACTGATGAGTGCACTGAAATGCTAATCTTAAAACTACTAGAGAGCTGTATCCTATAATAAACTCAGTATAGTAAATTGTACATAATTTCCTAGCAACGAATGTTGTAATAAGTTACTGAGTTTGGAGAATATCACTCCAAAAAACATAAAAACCTTTCTGAAGTGATTTCAACGTTGACCTGAAAAATATCAATGAATTTTCAACATACATTTTATTCATATTTTGCTTCTCCTGTCACTATTAAATGGCTGTCTAAAACGTTCTACTCTTATCATTAAAAGATAATATCAACTAGCTGTTGATCTCTCCGGTGATCCACAGCAAAATTATATAATTTGTAACAATGCAGATTTGATGTAAGAAACAACTTCATTTATTTATTTATTTGTTTATTTAGTAATTCTCTGAAAGTTTTTATAGTTTTTTTGTGTTTTTAGTGATTTTTTTTGTTTTTTGTTGTTTTGTGTTTTTTTTCCTTTTTTTTTTTTTTTTTTTTTTTTTTTTTGGTTCTTAGAAAATCTGAGACATGTGAGGCTAGACAAAGCAAGGCCGGGGTGGTGGGATGGGGTGGGGTTCAGGGGGGTCCGGTCTGCCAACTCAGCTCCTCTGCTGCGAAAGCGGGGTGCTGGTTGGGGCCCCCATCTCCTGGCAATGGCAAGTGAGTCTGGAGCAGGGAGGGGAGAGGGGCTGGGTGGGTCCCCAGCCGTCGGGTGGTGGTGGCGCCCTCTGCTGGCCCCTCGCATGGCCCAGGCGGTTCCTGGACAAGGCACATGGGGCTTTGGCCTGGATGGGGAGGCCTTGAAGGGACCTCGGGGCAGAGGAAGAGACCTGGGTATGGTGAGGCATCCCCAGGGCATGGAAGGGACCGGTTGTGCTGTGGGAATCCACTGTCTCCTGCAAGATGGTTAAAAAAGCACAACACATCATACATATTTACCAGACCAGAAGCGCTGGCCCTAAGTCTCCCCAACCCCAACCTGGTCGGGGGAACCTCCTGGCCAACTCCCAAAAAGAGACAGGAGAGAGCCTGCCCCAGCCCCTCCCTGCCCACCCAGCCACCCGGGAGGACAGCAGAGAGTGCTTTGCATAGATACAGAGTGGAGGAACGGGACTGTGGGGCTGCCCCGGCCCCTCCTGGAGGCCATAGGGGGTGTTGGGTCCGGGTCTCTCTGGGGCCTCACAGGTCGCTCTCGCCATACAGGGCTGTGGAGGAAGACTTGTAGTCGAGGACACCGGGCACGGCGTCAGGGCCCTGGTAGGGCACCATGCGGGCAATAGAGTACTCGGCCTGGTCGGGGAGCAGCTCTCTCGCAGCTCCTCAGCTGTGATGAAGTTCTTGTCCCTTGCCAGGACCTTGAAGGAGGCGATGACCTGGTCGGCCATGTCCGTGTCGGTGGTCTCCTGCGACATGAAGTCGATGAAGGCTTGGAAGGTCACAAGGCCGCTATGGTTGGGGTCGACCAGGCTCATGATGCGGTTGAACTCGGCCTCACCCTGCCGGTCGTTCTCCACGTCATAGCCCAGGCTGATGAGGCAGGCCTTGAACCCCTCAGGCCCCAGCACCCCACCATGATCCTTGTCGAAGTGGTTGAAGGACGCCCGGAACTGCTGCATCTGCTCCTGGCTGATGCCTTTGACGTCGCGGGTGAGGATCTGGTTCTCCACCTCGATGATGGTTGGGGCAATGGTGGTGAGCAGCTGCTCCCTGCCCACGCGGATGTGCTCCATGGTGTGCTTGTTGTCGAAGATGAGGGCCTCCTGGATGAGCTGGTGCTGCTGCTCCAGCAGGTCCAGGTTAGGCTTGTAGTCCACGATGCTGTTTTCACACTGCTTCAGGTGGCTCAGCTGGTCCTCCAGGGTCCCGTTCATCTCAGTGGAGATGAGCCCGATCTCCTCCATCTTGGTCTGGATCCAGGGCCCCACGACGTTGGCCTGGCTGGCGAACTGGCAGCGCAGGTGCTTGTTGGACTGCTGGTTGCTCTGCTCCTCCAGGAGGGCGTGGTCCCGTTTTGGCACCAGCTGCTGCACCTTCCCCCACTTGGAGTTGATGATCTGTGGGGTGACGGTGGTGTAGGGGTTGCTGCCTGACAGCTTGATGTGGTTGCGCTCAGCGATCCTCTGGGCCTCCTTGTGGATGGCCAGGATGGCCTCGTGCTCCCTGTCAGCGTCCGGCAGGGTGGACTTGAACTGGTCGTGGGCTGAGATCAGGCCCTCAGTGTCCTCGATGGTGTAGATGATGAACATGTCCTGGAGGTCCTCCATGGCGCTCTCCATCCAGTTGTTGAAGGGGGCCACGCGCTTGGCATACTCCAGGTGCAGATGGTCTATGGCCTCCAGCTGCTTCTCTGTTTTCTCCAGGGCTTCCCTGCGACTGTTGGTCAGAGAGCCGAGGGCGTCCCACTGGTCCCAGATCTTCTGGCACCGGGTGTGGACATTGTGGGAGTCATAGTAATCCAGCTCGTTGAGCTCCTGGGCAAAGGCTGCGATCTGCTCCACGCGGTGCTGGTGTGCCGCAGCCAGGTAGCTCTCGAAGGCCTCGTGCTTGAGAATGAGGGCTTTGATGTCCGACAGCATGGCAGTCTTGTAGTCCTGGTGCCCCAGCATGGCTTCCTTCCCTAGGACCCAGGCCAAGGGACAGCCGGAGTGGGGACAAGGGGTCGTTGGGGGCTGGTCGTATTCCCAGGAAATCAAGTCCTTCGGAGAAGCATCCACCAGATAAGATTAGACAGTTGCCTTTTTCAGGAAATTTCTAAGAAGACTACAGACAATTTTAGAATTTGGGACAAAAATGAAGTGACAGTTTTTTTACTCTAATGCTTTGATAAAAAAATTAATCATCATCCTCATTATAATCATCAAGGTCTTAATAATGGGAATTGGAAAATAATAGGACAAGATAGATAATCACAGCAAAATGTCAATACCACATTAAAACGATACTCATATAAAGTACCCTTAAAGGGGAATTGCTTGAAAAGCAATGATAATTTACAGAGAAAAGGAAAAACCCATTTATTTAATTATAAATGCTTCCTATAAGAAAACCATAGTAGATTAATCAGAGGAATACCTTTTCAATGGTCTATCTGTTATTGGACTAACAAGGTTAATTTCCTTTATGTTTATGCTTACCACAGGCTATTGCTCTGTTATCTCATTCATAGCAGAACTCACAAAGGGATTAGCTTTCTCACAATCAAAGTGCTATGAGCAACGTAGTTTCTCATTTGTTTCCTGATTCTCTTATTACGGGTATGGTTCCTAATACAATGTCAAAATAATGGGCTACTGGCACTATTTCAATAAATATAGATTCTAAAAATGTAAACTACATTTATGGTTGTGAAAAACATGTTAACTTGTGTTGCTTCTGATTCCAAATAGTTTCCTTGCAAGAGTAATTGAAGAATAACTAGGGCATCTAAAAAAGAACAAAGACATTAGTGAAAATGGCAGAGTAGATAGCTCCAAGAGCTTGTCTCTCCACAGCATCAACAAAAAATCAAGCAAAACCTGTGAGAATCAACTTCTTTTACAGAAAGCTTTCCTTTATATTGTTTTAAATGTCAAAATTAATTTATATATAAGTCATTAGATATACAATCAAATTTTATTTTGACACCATAGTATTTGAAGCGAATCATGGTTTAAAATTAAGGAATAGAATACAGTTGATACAATACAGGTGTATTAGTCAGGCTAATACATAATTCACATGACAAAATACTATAAAGTAGGTGGCTTAAAGAGAAATTTATTTTCTAATAGTTCCGGAGGCTGGAAATCAAAGATCAGGGTGCCAGCATGGTGGAAATTCTGATGAAATCTGTCTTTCTGACTTGCAAACAGTTGCCTTCTTGCTCTGTCTTCATGGACAGAGAAAGAGATAACACTCTGAAGTCCCTTCTTGTAGATACAATAATTCTATCTTATCCATATCCCACCTTATGACCTCATGTAGCCTTAACTGCCTCCTTCTTGAAGGCCCCATCTCCAAATCTAGTTACATCACTGATTAGAACTTCAACATATGGATTTGTGGGTCAGGGGAGGACACATTCAATTTACAGCAATAAGATTGCTACTTATTCCAATAATAATTTTGCAATGGAAAGCCAAAAATCTACACATCAGTCACACACCAAATTTTGAAGAAGCCTAATATGATCTTTAATAATCTAACAGCACTGTCCTCCAAAACAGCACCCCACTCTTGTCCCTTTGTTGCACCGGTTTTTGTTTTTGATATATTTGTGACCCTGGCCACCTATATTACGTCCCAAAGCATCTTCTTTGAATACCTTCCTTATCTCAGGACTAAGAATCAACCTTCCTAGTCAATGATCCAGTGAGTGAGAATTTTATATGTATTAACTCAATCTAGCACGCTTAACCTTGTTACAAAAATCACTGACTCCTTTGTTCTCTCACTGGGTCTTCCCATTATCTGAAACAAACATGAAGCCAGAGGAAAGATGGATTTGTTCATTTATTTCAATAGGTTGGTTTTTAAAAGAAGGAACTAGGTGAAGCACAATATAGAATGACTCTGGAAAAAATGGAATCTAACTGACACTACTGGCATCACTATGTACTCATAACATTAAACAATTTAGGGATTGGAAGTAAGTTATGATAGAATTTGTGGAAGATAAATCGTTTGAATAATGATAGTATTAGTGAAGTTTTAATTTCACCTTCCTTCTACCACTTCTATTATTACACAAAGCCAGTAAATATATCTTGACATGAAATCTATTAATCAATTGAAGATCCTCCTTAAGCAGTACAAGATCAGTGTTAAACTTTTAAATAGATCATTTTAATCCAATTTATCCTGATTAGCCATGAAGAAAAAAGTGAAGAGAAATCTTTCTGACCAAAAAAAAAGCCATTTTAAAATACAGGAACATTAACTTGAGATACTTAAACCAATGTAAAAAATGTATAAATTTCAAAGCACCAAATTGAAATGCATATTTAGTGCTAGCTTACAATGAATGAATGTATTTCATTCTCCCAGTCTAATTATTGTCTGGTATTTTTGAGAGAAATACATTAGTAGCTTAGATGAAGCCAAGATTCATTATAGTGTATTCAATTCAAAGATGTGAATATGCAGAAGATAATAATACGGGAGTGATATATGTATAGTGCACCCACATTTTTTATGTTATGTCTTAACAGATTAAAATTTTAGAAACAAATTTGAAATTTATATGTGTACTTTAATCAAATTATGTATCTTTTATAGCACTTTAGCCTGATTGAGGTTATGAGTCAAATATATTAATTGGGTTATATTACTGGGACTGTAGTACCTGTGAATAAGGCAAATATGGGGAACTGATAGTCACCAAAATACCATTATTCCCCCTGCAAACAATAATGAGCAAAATGGAAAATTTTGGTAAAATTCTTTCTTTATTCTGGCACTATTCAGACAACTACCAATTAAGATTTTAAAAGATATTTCTACTCATTTGCTATATACAAAGGAATCTGTTATGAGAAGGCACACAAAATACACAATTACAGCCACCATTTCTCTCCTCCTTTGACATATGCTAGCATTAATATCCCTATTAACATTAAAATGAAAATGTTTTTATTTAAGACCTAATTTAGATGAACCCGGAATTGAGGATTATATAAAAAGTTAAGAAAATATCTGATTTGAGAACTGACTTCTATTGAGCTCTGTCTTGAAAAGTGAATAGGAAAATTTCACATTATAAAAAAGACCCAAGATGATATCTTATTCAAATTTATTTTTTCCACTCTCTGGATTTCTAGAAATTCTGTTGTAATGTTAGAATATATGTTAATTTATTTCCATAGTAACATTTTCATGTTGAAAATAGAAACTAAAATTACTGAGTTCTTCTCTTGTGCCAGAGAATAATTTTCATTATTGCATTAATTAATACTGAAAGAGCTCTTACCCATTGCAAAATATTTTAAATATATAAACTTTTTTTATTTCTCATAGGTAAAAAAAACCCTGTGAATTAGACAAAATTAACAGCATTTTACAAATAAGAAACCTGCTAATAATTAGTACTTGTATTACAAGTAGTACAGTACAAATTAGTATTTGTTCTGGGGTAGTCCGGCTCCAGATTCCATGCATTTACACAGGCCACAACATTGTTCCTCAGGTTCTGCTATGGGCTTTTGCATATTTGATTCTCTCAGTAATATTTCATAAACCATTATAGACCATTGTGATGTTATGCACAGAAGACAGGACTTAGAATGAGAAAGTCAGTATTTGAGTTTTGACTTTGATACTGAAAGTTACAACAATGTAAAAAAAAAAAAGCCCTTTTTCCTTGCAAGATACCTCCTTTGAATCCTTCTAATTTTTAAAATACTGTGAAAAGAAATGTCTTTCTAATCCTACTTTCTAAATGAATTATTTATTCTCTCTGTCAACAGCCTCAAGAACTTCAAACAATTTTGCCAAATCTTTTATTGTCTTCTTGATTAGGTCTAGCTAGGAACAGGGCTATTTGAAGCTGCTGGAATAAATATATATGGGTATAGTACATGTAGCTAGTATATAGGGTTTTCTGGACAGTCTGCATATCATCCCAGCTGTACTAGATGACATAATTTTATTATTGCAGCTTAAAATTCTTTAAACATATTTTTCCACAGCCATATCTCATTATTACTGAATTTTAGACTTACTTTCAACTGAAAACTCAAGATCTTTATCTTATGATCTGCTGCAGTGAAGCTAGAAACTCCTCTAATGCCTTGATTCAGAAATTTAAACAGAAATTCCAGCCAGTCAAGGAAAGAAACAATTTGTATTTGGGATCAATGAGAAGGAAATGTCAAAATCCCCAAATTTATGCTGAAATGTGTGTTTATGTGTGTGTCCATGTAGGTAGCTATATCAATACCATGTGGGTTAGGCTGAATAACAGCCTCTCAAAGATGTCTATATTCTGATCTCCAGAGCCTATTAGTATGTTATTTTATATGGCAAATGGGGCTTTACAGATGTGCTTAAATTAAAGATCTTGTGATGAGGAAATTATGTTGAATTATCCAGATTCTAATGTACTCTAACAGGGATTACATTAGAGAGTTAGAAGAAGGCAGAAAGGTCAGAAAGAGAGAGAAGATATTGCCATGATGGAAGCAGAGTCAGAGAAGAAAAGGTAACCATGAAAGCAGAAGTGAAAGTGAAGTAAATGTATTTCCCCTGCTGGAGTTGAAGATGGAGGAAAGGATGAGGAGCCAAGGAATGTGGGCAGACTCTTGTGTTTACAAGGGAATGGACCCTCCCCGCTTATACCTGCAGAAGGGCATAGCCAACACCTTGACTTTAGTACTTTCCACCTCTAGAACTATAACATAATAAACCTGTGTTATTTTAAACCACTAAATTTGTGGCAATTTATTATAGGAACAATATAAATCTAACACACCACCCAAATATTACTTACAATAACTACTGGGTAGAATGATGGTTTCTAAACTATATTCTCTTTCCCTATCAAGATCAGTGTTTATTTTCACTTTTCTACTGCCTTCAAAATGGCTAATGAATAGCAATAAAATATTATAATTTTATATGTAGTCAATAGCAGTATGTTTTTCATGTACAGTGTTAGAATTAAGAGTTGAGAAAGTAAGAAAGGAGGTACATTTCTTTTTGTACAAAGATAGCAATGATGGGAAAGTTGTCAGAATCAAAATAAAGTCATCTGTGTTAAAACCGTTGACAAACAGGGCCAGGGAAGGCCATATGGGGAGGATTCTCATGCATGAATGCCTGATAACAAAACTTATCACAAAAGACTCTGCAAAAACAGCTACCTTGCACAAAGACCATCACAACCTTACACACACACACACACACACACACACACACACACACACACACATAAAAAATACTTCTTCAAGGCCATCTGCCCAGCAACTGCCTGTCCAGATTTGGACTGTGCCATCCTTTTTACTGATCCTTGTAATCAAGAAAAAATGATCTCAAAAGAAATATGTAATTCTCCTAATTTTTCCTTTAAGACTTTTTGTCTTTCTTTACCTCCCTGAATATGCACAGCTTATTAAGACATGTATATTTCAACTTCAATGCCTATTATTGAATAAATATTATTTTATTTTAGAGAGCCTACCTATGTCCGTTATTTGAGTCGACATAAATTGGTGTCTCAGAATTGGGACCAAAGGGAGCTCACCTCAGATGGATCTGCAGGCCCTGGAATCGACTATGGTACGGACTGAGCTCTTTGTGTTCTTTTCTTCCCTGAGTCACGTTTTCTGTCTGGGTGAATCTCCCCTCAGATTCTCAGGCTTCCTCCCTTTAGTGAGTTCTTTTTCACTTTATTTAGAATCTGATTTTGTAATAAGTCTAACTTATGTAAAGGACTTTGCATTCTTCTTGGGATTAGCAATGTCTTTTTTTTTTTTTGGACAAGCCCTTTTTAATATAAAGACATAGTTCTTTTAGAGAATACTCTTGTTCCTACAGAGTTTACATTCTGACTGTGAGGACCATATGTTTTCTGGTGAATTCACTTTTGGTTTTATGTATCTGGTTTAACATTTGTTTGATCTGAATGCCTGGCTTCAAATTTTTGTGAGTACTCTGATTTTGCTTTCATTACAACTTGATTACGTATGTTTGTAAATAATTTGGATTTTCCTTTTTTGTTTTTGAACATTTTCTGAGGGCAAAAAAGACATTCTAAATAGTGAGGATGAGATGGCCAACGAAAAGACAATAGGGTGGTCTCTATCATTTAAAACATCAGTCCAAACCGTTGACCTTCCCTGATTAGATTTCAAAGATTTTCTTTGCTCTCAAAAGATTAATAAGAAATGGAATAAAATACTTGCATATTAAGATATGGTAAGCTTTCTGGGATTCTAGCAGACTATACATTCAAAATTTATGGTCCATTCTCATGTACATTTTAAATAAATGGACAAATTACATCAATGATAATTTATGTCCGCTAAATAAATCATTCAAATGCTCCAAACTTGTGTCTCTTAAAACTTCCCCAGCTAATGCCAGATGACCTATAAAAGTTGATCCCACTAGAGTAGCTTTTAATTCCATGTTTGTGAATAGCCTTCTGTCAAAATTTTCCCAGCTTTTAAAAGAGCTCACACAGAACGGAAAACCATGCCCACTCCTAATCTAATTAATTTAGCAAAACAACTTGCCTCCACCCTTGAAAACACTAAAAAAAAGAAAATTATTAAAATTCTTAAGCTTCAATTGTAGTAGATGTAAGCTCCCAGATAAATCACCAAACGAAGATTCCCTGGTCTCTGTCAATATTGTAAAACAAAACAAAACAAAACAAAACAAAACAAAACAAAACAAACTAACACACAAAAAAAGCATGTCACTGGAAAAAAGTGTTTTGCAAAAGGAAGATGATGGTACAATCTTCTCTCAACATTCTCTACCTCTACCTGAAGACCAAACTTGATGATGATGATGATCTATTTCTTTCTACCTTGGCCCTCTCCAAGATATCCACTCCTTTTAAATTTTCACTTTTGCCTCCTTTCACTTTCATATATACATACACACACACACACACACACACACACACACACACACACCATGGGATATATATATACACACACACACCATGGCGGAATCTTTTTATCTTGAAAAGGGGAAATAACCTTTGAGTTTGACAAACATCGACATATAGAAGCTTCTAGTCTCTTTTTTTAAAAAAAAATTGCTTCTTCTAAATATGGTAATGTTTTTCTTATATTAAGATGATCTATTGTTGCTAATTTCAAAAGACACTTAGAAATGTTTTCCCTCCCCCTTAGGGCAGTTCATCCAAGATAAGGAGAAAAAAGGGCTTTCAAATTATAGCAGTTCCATGGCAACAAACAACCTATCCTTGTACACATAAGAGTGATCCCTCTGGGAAATGTAAAGTTAGATTTGTCTGGCTATCACTTAGGATGATAGAACAGTTAAGCAAAAGATTGGTAATCTTAAAAAAAGAGAATCAGATAAATGTTTTTTACAGTTAAGCTCTCAGAACAAACAAGTCAAAATCTTGAGCTCAGAGCAATAATATAAAATATTCCTTCCAGAATAAGAAAATGCTTTTTTTAGGAAACATGTGCCAGAAAAAGCCAGAAAAAATCAGTTTTAAAAAAAATGCTTCCCATGTCAGGGAAACCAAATCAGCAAACAAGGAATAGATTTATTGCTGAAATTCAAGGGTGCTTGGACATTTTGTTTTGCTTATACAATTCAGTCAGTTCTAACTAAAATGTAAACATTTAAAAATGTAACCCTAAAATTATTTGATACTGAAAAAAAAGATAAAAATTGTTTTTTTTTTTAAATCAAACTGCTATACAAAACATCTATCCAGAAAATTGTTCTACAGCCTGTATAAGATTACCTTTTGGGGCAAATAAATTTTAGCCATGTGAACATGTCCTAGTTTTCAAAAATATAATTTAGATTCAAATATTACTTATAAACTGGTAAAATTATGTTATTATTCTTTGATCACTAAAACTATAAAATCAAAGTGATAAGATCTTTGTTTTGTGTATGTATATGTGTTTAGGTGTATTTATGCAGATGTACATGTATTATGTTATACGTTGTGTCTACATGGTAGAAGCTGGCATAGTAGACCACAAATTGCTTATGGAATTCTATCCAAGTTGGCTTCAATAAATGAATTCTCATAAGAATTGGTAAAATGGGCCAGGCGCGGTGGCTCATGCCTGTAATCCCAGCACTTTGGGAGGCCGAGGCGGGCGGATCACGAGGTCAGGAGATCGAGACCATCCTGGCTAACATGGTGAAACCCTGCCTCTACTAAAAATACAAATAATAATAATAATAAAAATTTAGCCGGGTGTGGTGGTGGGCGCCTGTAGTCCCAGCTACCCGGGAGGCTGACGCAGGAGAATTGCTTGAACTCGGGAGGTGGAGCTTGTAGTGAGCCGAGATCGCGCCACCGCACTCCAGCCTGGGCAACAGAGCAAGAATCCGTGTCAAAAAAAAAAAAAAAAAAAAAAAATTGGTAAAATGACTAGGTGCAGTGGTGTATGCCTGTAGGCCCAGCTATTCACTACTCAGGATGTTGAGGCAAGGGTATCACTTGAGCCTAGGAATTCTCAAGGCAGCAGTGCACTATAATTATGTCTGTGAACAGTCACTGCACTCCAGCCTGGGCAATAGCCAGATGTTATCCCCAAAATTAAGAAGTTAAAATGTATAGTAATGAACACAAATGTCTTTTAGTTCATATAACTGAGATAAATCTTTGATAAATAAGCTGGTTTTAATTTTTTTGATACAATAAAAATAAAAATGCCTTTAGAAATGTCAGCATATATTTTTTTCTGGGTTTACTGGTTAGACAGAATCATAGTTGCATCTGCTAGATGTTTTAAGGTCATAAAACTATAAGCCCTAAAATCAGAATGATCTTTATGTAACTCTTTGTTAAGTAAGATTAATATAATATTGTTGATTTAATGAAAGCAGATGTAGCTTCTGAATTATTAGCAAAATTGAAGTTTCCTAGGACAAGAAGCAATTCTGCTTCTAGACTGCAGCTCCAGCTTCTTTAAAAAACTTGTAAGTCAATATTCCTGCACCTCTAATAAGTAAAAAAAAGGAACAAACTGAAAATTATGGGATCTTTTTGGATTCATCATAAAATTGAGTTTGCAGGGTAAAATGCTGCCCTAAAATCTGGAAAGATGCAAATACAGAGAATCACAGCCAATACCTGCATGCCTAGAAGAAATGCCTTATCAGCTATTTACTGGTAGGAATACCTAAATGGTAATTATTACAAATTTCTGGAAGCTGAGTGTAGACTAGCCTGAAAGTGGGAAACTCCTGAGGCTGCAGTCTTATGAGAATGGTCTCCCACATTCTAGTGGGTCTACTTTTAAGAAGCCCACTAGATTCTCATGGTAAAGAGCCAAGAAAATACCATGGTATTTAATGGCAAGATGAAGGGAAAGCTAATCCTTTTGAAATACACCCAGAGTGTTCTCCAAAACAAAGGCTTACTCAGTAAGGGAAAAGATCTTATCAATATTTGATTAGATGTGAGGAAATAAAAATTAACAAACTCCAAAGCCCCTCTAACCTTCCAATCTCACATAAGAAAGAGAAGCTGAGAATTACCTGTGAAGGCCACAGCATAGGGACAAAGACTAAAGACCAGTTAAAGACATTAATGGAACACATCACTCACAGTAGCAATATATGCATGCTTTCAGCCTCATATGGGGCATGTACCAAGAGAGACTATTTTCTAGATCATAAAAATGAGAAAACTCAAAAAAGCAGAAATCATGCAAAGTATATTCCCAGAGCAGGTTAAATCAAACTAGAAATCAATAACAGAAAAAGGAAGAACACCAAATATTTGGATATTAATCAACACTACTAAAGAATGGGTCAAAAATGAGCCTTAAGAGACATATAAAAATTATTCAAAATAGATTAAAAGGAAAATACAGTTTATTGAAATTTGTAGAAAACAGCAAAAGCACTGCTTAGAAGAAAAATTATAACATTATATTTATATATTGGAAAAGAAGAAAGGTTTAATATCTATAATCTGTTTCCACCTTAAAACACTAGAGAAAAAAGAGTAGTTTACTATGAAAGCAAACAGAATAAAATAAATTATAATCATTAGAGCAGAAATCAGGAAAATTGAAAACATAAAAATGCTATAGAAAATGAACAAACCCAAAAGCTGGTATTTTGAAAAGATAAATAAAATTAATAAACCTTTAGCCACCCTAACCAAGAAGAAAATAGAGAAGAAGAAAATTATCTGTAACAGGAATAAAAGTAGGGTCATTACTGCTAATCCCATGGACTTCAAAGGGATGATGAAGAAATATTGTAAGTAACTCTATGTCCACAAATTTGATAGCTTAAAAAATGGACACATTTTTCAAAAGACACAAAATGCCAATATTTACAGAAGGAGAAACTTACAATCTTAATAGGACTATAAAAATTGAATCAATAATTAGTAACCTTCCAACAAAAAAAATTACCAGATCCAGATGATTTCACTGGTGAATCTTATCAAATATATGAAGAAAAAATAATACCAGTTTTATAAAATCTATCCAGGAAAATAGAAGCAGAGGGAACACTTCCTAGCCAATTTTATGAGGACCACATTACTCTAATACCTAAACCATGTACAGACATTATAAGAAATAAATTCTTCAGACCAATATTACTCACAAAAACAGATGGAGAAATCATCAAAATCTGAAAGTCAATTAATGTACTATAGTACATCATTGTGGTAAAGAAGGAAAAATAAAGAAAAAAGTAAAGGAAAAATATACAGATTGGGGAGGAAAAAATAAAAGTGTCCTTGTTCTCTGATACCAACATTACCTGTATATTAAATTCCAAAGAATCAATAACAACAAATAAAAAACCTTCTGGAACTAATAAGTGAAATAGAAAGGTCACAGGATACAAAGTTATTATGCAACAGTCAATTTCTTTCCTATATACCAGCATAATATGGCTTGATATGATGGTATTTATTGTGCACATAAAGTCCATCTTTCTACACACTTATTCAATATGTCTTATCTTCTTAAACATTTACAAGTGAATCTCACTTTAGTTGGAAACTGCTTGATCTTTACTTCTTTTCACTGAGATCAGTTCCAGAAGCAGTGCACTACAGCCGCTGCTTTGCAGCTCCTACTAGAAATCATAGATTTTCTATAGTAATGAGTGACACTTATGTATCCCAGAAGAAAATGTCTAGATATTCTTTTATTGTCAAAAATGTCTGAAACTGTCGAGATTAACTCTAGGGGCTTGACTTACAGTAAGTATGTTCTCTAAAATATCCCTAGCATATTTCTTATCTTTAAAATACACAATGGGCTTACTGTGTTGTTCTCCTTTCAGATAGCCCATTCATAGTATTGTGTCTGTATTTCATTATTTATTATTTGGGTGAATTTGAACAGATTACATAACCGTTGGAGCTTCAGTTTCATTATCTGTAGATTGGGCATAAAAGAATTAGCCTCAAAATTGAATGAGTTAATCCATGCAAGGAATTTAGAAAATGCCTATTATAGAAGTACTCAATAAGTTATTTTAATTACAAAGAAAAATGTTATTTATAGTAACCATGGATAATAGCTAATATAAATTATTTTTTTAATTGGTGACTAGCAAAACCTCGTAAGATATCACTCTTGGATTTTATTTTAAGCAGTTATTGTCCTGTCAGACTTTAGGTCAAAGGTTTCATATGACACAACTTTATATGTTTATATGATGGACAATTATTTATGTCAAGCAAACTGTATAAATGTGATTTGTTTGTTTTTTCCTCAGTGATATGGGTGTGTGTGTGTGTGTATTTCTCTTCCATATTTCTTGTCTTCAGAACACACTATGGGATAAATGTATTGTCCTCCATTCTAGGGGCTCTTCAATTAACTAGAAGAGTCACTTTTCAGATAGCCTGTGCATAGTATTGTGTCTGTGTTTCATTATTTATTATTTGAGTGAATTTGAACAGATTACATAACCTCTAGAGCTTCAGTTTCATTATATGTAGATTGGGTATAACAGATATAGCCTCAAAATTGGTTGAATTAATCCATAAAAGGAATTTAGGAAATGTCTATTAAATAAGCATATTAGATAAGTAATAAGCATTACTTTCATATAAGAAATTGGTACCACATTTATATAAGTAATAGGCATTACTTATATAATAAATAGTATATGTAGCTATTATATTATTAATATCTCTAAGTATATCTAAATATCTATCTATCCATCTCTCAAGGTTTTAGAAGATGGAAACAATTTTAAAAAACAAACAAAACATGCCTCAACCATCTCATTCTTTCAATTATTTTCTCCCTATTGTGGTTAATGGAAAGAAGTCACGTTTGGTTCTAATGGGGAAATAGAGGCTAAAATTTAGCAGATTAAAAGATGAAGTTAAAAGTTAAAATACCAAATATATGCACCTACTAGGTACCCACAAATATTTAAAACTAAAGAAAAGCAAGAGTTAAAATACCATGATTAGGGTATACCTAAAAATAAAAAGAGAAAAGAAAGTTATTACATACTAATAGATATCAAGCTGAATAAAACTGTCTCTCAAGCACAGGTATAGCAGTTGAGTTTGCAGAAGATTCATTGCATGTTCTGTTAAAGAGCAGCTGGACTATATTCTGATTCTCTCTGAAGGTTTGCTTCCAGGAACGTGCCATATGGATTGCATATTAGTTAAGGTTTTTTCTGGAACGTTTCCAGATGTCATTGCCCAAAGAATTTATGAGTCTTTACTGTAGCGCTAGTTAGACTTCTTTGTGGAACTAGAGAATAATTTTTTTAGTACTTCCCAAAGAACAAAAAAATAGAATATACTGGTGTTGGCAGACTAGTTTGTTGGTTGTTTTTGTTTGTTTGTTTTAGCATATTCAATCACCCAGGTTTTGGAGTTGTATAATTATTATATTAGAATAAAAATAAGTACTTATAAAATTGCATGTCATATATAATTGAAAGTATTTATAATTGTATCCTCCCTATTAGCAATTAAGTTGAAAAAATAAATATAATTTATTTTCTGAAACTGAAAGAGCCAAATGGCATTGACTCTGGCATAATGTACTATAACCCTCATCCATTTCTTCATGTTCTGATGCAGAGATCGAGATATTGGATGCCTGGGGAAGTCCAAGGCCTTTCTTCCATTTAGACACAGGTCTCCTAGATTGCTGATGTAATTAAAGAATAATCAAGGGTTTTTAGAAGATTTATTTTATAAAATCAAGTGGAAAGAATTTTTTTCTTGAAAGAGTTCTTGTTGAACAAATTTCATTCTTCATTTGTCTCAGCTCTTGCAATTCTATTATGAACAGTTGTAGGACTGTATTCTTTGTGACTCCCAGTTGAGTTCAATAATGGGCACGTGCTGACTGATTTGAAAATTAGCACTGGTATAATGTGACACTTCTTAAAATATCAGTATATATTTGTGACAGATTATTTCAATACTGTTAGAAAGTATGACTCCTGCTTTGAGAAGTAATTCATTGGATGTTTTAAACAACTCATATACATTTTAATATTGCTTTAGATATATCTATGTTTGTTGATAGAATATTGTCCTTCATGACTGAAAACTTAACTACTAATTCTCTAATTTCAAAATAATTTTAGCTATTAAAATTTATCAGCTAAAATAATTTCATATTTACCAGTTATAACCTGAAAAATAAGTGGTTCTTCATCACTTAAAAATTTCACGTAAAACAGAAATATTTTTATTTTTCTAAGTAAAAGAAAAATTAAAAGCTCAATGTAAGTGGGAAAAAAACAGTGCTCACTTTATGATGTGATGTGCAAGCTTAATGAATTTTATTTTCACTTCTGATATAAGTGGATCCTAGTAGTTTGTCTCTTAAAAACCCAGGAAACAATAACTCTCAAAGCCCTCTTCCTATTTTTTTCTGATTTTAAAGACATTTAATTTATTATTATAATTTTAGTTTTTAACTCATGAATTCTAGATTAGGCCATCATGTACAAATGAATGCTAGTAAGAAAAGATAGTTTGGGGTAAATAGGCAAAAGAAAATACTAGAAGACACATTAATTCACTTAATAGGTTATAAGGAAAAGTGAATTGGAGGTTTGTGTGGTAGTAAATGATGTCTGAAAAAATTCAGAAACTTCTCACTATGTAGAGACTTTTGTCAGAAGGAAATCACCTGTTTAACATTTATCAGACCTTCAGGGTACCTTAACAATACTATAATCCCTGGGATAGAAACACTGGTGGCTGCAGTAAAGGCGCAGAATCCTGCCTAAATCCATTTCCTCAAATCTCTCTTACTGAGCAAAAACCTTAAGCTTCTGTAGGTACAACAGAAAACGTTGCCTCCTTTGGGTACCAGTGAAAACCCATTGCAGCTGAAGAAAGGAAAAAGGAAAAATCTACCACTAAGACAGGGCAGGAATATGTGCTTGATCAAGAAGTAGAGCTGGGAAGTAGCAAGAACTCTGACAATGTCCTGCAAGAACATTGTCACTGTTGGACATTATAATTGTCCAACAGAGAAGTTGGATCAGAATACTAGAGCAGCACCCATAGTCCCAAAGACACCAGCAAACGTGGAGACACAACACAAGGGATATCTAAAACTGCAGATAGACCAAAGAGTGAGAATTGCGCTCTGGTAACTCAGGCTCCATTTTAAACATAGTGATCTTAGAAGAATTTGAGCCCAGTAACATAAATAAGCTCACCTTACTGACTCAAACTCCCATACTAAAGATCTAGCAAAGGGAAAAATTTGCCCATTTCAGGGCATAAATACTATTTAAATAAGCTTCAGCTATACTATACAAGATGTCTTCTGACAAAAACAATTATGAGTCATAAAAAATTGCAAGAAACATTACAAAATGATGTATTAAAAAAAGCAGAACAGAAGCAGACTTATATATATTGGGACTATCAGAGGTGAATTCATAATAACTATAATTAATATTTTAAAGGTTGTCATCAAATAAACTAAATGCAAGATCAGAGCAGTAATTTCTGCAGAAATATGGAAACTGAAAAAGAATCACATGTAATTGATAGAAATGCAAAACAGAGTAACCAAAATAAAAAAAAAATGTATTCTATGAGTTGATCAGTAGATTTTACAAAGCCATAAAAAGAATTAACAAATTTGAAGATAGGTTAGTAGAAATCACAGAAATAAAGCATAATGATAAAAATGGTGAAATAAAGTCTTCACAAAGAATCCGGGAGCCATGGAATAATATCAAATGATATAATAAATGTGTAATTAAAATCTCAAAGTGAAAGATAAGTGGAGAGAAGAAAAATTTGAAAGAAAAATAACCAATAATTTTCCAAAATTAATTTCAGACGTCTAACCTCAGATCTGAGGAGGTTAGAGAAAATCAAGATACATCACACACTGGGGCCTATTGTGGGGTGGGGAGAGTGGGGAGGGATAGCATTAGGAGATATACCTAATGTTAAATGATGAGTTAATGGGTGCAGCACACCAACATGGCACATGTATACATATGTAACAAACCTGCACGTTGTGCACATGAACCCTAAAACTTAAAGTATAATAAAAAAAGAAAGAAAGAAAAAATACCACACACAGGCACAGGCACACACACGTGCATACATACACGCACTCAGAAATATCATATTCAAACTGCTGAAAAATAGCAGTTGCCAAACTCCTCTCTAAGAAATATATATTTATAGTAGTATTTCTGTTATTTGTTTACACAGTCAAGTTTGAGATTTCAAAGAGACATTGAAGTGACATTGATTTCAGAGGTGAGAAGAGGAAAGTTCACCTTAGGAGAACTTGACTTGCTCAAATTGAAAATGGGTTTGACATTCTTAGACTAATCTGTAGTTAAGATATAATTATCATTCAAAATGTTAGAAATATCAGACAAGGACAACATATACAAATGTTAGAGAGCAATAGATAGCACAATTATGAAATACTTTAAAGGTAAAATGTGATGTAACATTAAATTTTAATAATTGGAAAATTTAAAAAGTATAATAGGATTTGAAATATTAAACAAAGGGTTCAAGTATGGATTACACACTGTAAAACACATTTGATAGAAAAGCCAGAATTCATTCCTCACTGAGGCTTCACAATTTTGGTCAGTCCCTTTTATCTAGCTTTTAATATATTTTTACTTTGTTATATTTATATAATCTCAATGTTATTAAATCTTAAAGTGCTATGAAATCTTTCAGATATAAATGTAGGCTGAAATATCTATTAGATGAAATACCTAGATAAATAAAATCAATAATTTAAGAGTAAGCTCCAGAGGAGCTCCTAAATATTTTCCCTAGTTTTAATTGTCTATAATTTTGTTTTCTTTATATGTAAATATTGTTTCTACAAATAGTTTTCCTTTCTTTCCAAATTTTGTTTCTTACTTTATAAATGATGTATTTTTCTCCATTTTAATACTTTGATATCACAACTCCATCATGATACTTACTACAGTCTTCATCACCAAATGACGTCGAAAAATGGTGACTCAATGATTATGAAGGACATTCATTTGAAGTTGATGCTGTTTGACCAATGAGAGCAATGTCAGTTATCTGAAGTTAAGATAAATCTGTTTATACTAATATTTTCTTTTGTTATAGAGATATGTGTTCTTCTTTGGGCATATAGCATTTCTAAATGAATTTTTATTATTCAAGTACTACAACTCATGTTATGAAGGAGAAGGAGAAGAAGGTAGAGGCAGAGAAGAGTAGAAAGAGAAAAAGGAAGGGTTAAAAAGAATAAAGAAAGAGAAAAAGGGAGTGATTTTAATAGACGGATACAACTGACTTTTGTTCAGCATTATGCAATTGCAAATATCCCTTAACCTGAACCTCTGTTTGTCAAGGTGATATAAGTTGGAAAGAAAAATTGACAGGTTGTTCCATTAGTAATAATGTCTTTTAAAATTTACTATCTGACATACAGTTTTGTAAGTGTCACAATAGATTATGCTTTATACGATGAAGTGATCAAACAATTTCCAGAAAGATAAACCATCTCTAAATGTTCCGTAGTAAAAAGAAAGGACATGTTTTAAAATAAAGAAATAATTTAATAAATCTGGATTTAATTATTTCTTTTGCCACCAAAGGGAAATAAATATTCATTTTTTTCTACCTTCCCTATTCACAGGAAATTAAACTTTTGTAAATGATAAAGTGTATAAAGTGAAATGATAAAGTGAAAACTGTGTTTATATATGTTCTGAGGTCCTTCTATGCCACATAAAGATTAGAGGGAAAAAAGTGATTTTATGAGAAATTACCTTGAACAGTATTTTATCTCCTAATAACTTTGAAATTCGGGACTGACACCAGCAAATGTAGAATTATTTTACCTAAACATAGGTGAAATAGTTTTAAAGAATCTGGTTCATTCTATAAATTTATCAAAATAAAAAAATTGTTCAGAATAACAATTTTGCTTAAAGTGAGTACTTCTAGCAAGATTTCCAATTATCTATAATTGTTATATCACAGGCGTGATATTACAAATTTCATTTAAAGGTAAGCATTTTTCATTCTTTTAATAGAATTTGGGTTTGTTTTTTGCAATCTCTGAGAGAGCTTTGAAATTTTGCATGTGTTTCTTAGCATTTGGATCCATTTCCTATTTCTAAACATGTACTGAATATAAACTGAGATTGCACATGCTATTTTCTATAGATTCAAGCTTGAAAGCAAAAATCATTTTAAATTGTAGCACTATAATGAAATGGAGTGGTAGAAATTGTATTTAAAATGCCACTGTAAAATCTTCCTTAATTGCAGAATAAAAAATGCATACCAAGTGCTAAAAACACATTTAAATAGATAATATAAATATCATTGATGAAAGATAGAATTTATCTTTAAAGTAGAAGTATTTGTAAAAGTTGAAATTCGTTTTAAATAGTTTTTAAAATCTTAAGTGTCCCTATGTGGATGAAAACTAATATTGGAGAAACAATTTGTGAACAATTGTTGGCAATCAATTTCTTTCAGACAATTCTCTGAAAGACAGAAAGAACAATCTAAAAATTTCCAAAAATATCTAGAATAAACGTAATTCACTGAATATTCCATACAACAACTCAGTAAAGAAGGCAAAATGCTTAAAAATTGCAAAACTACCTCCAAGGTGAATAAAATTAATAATATTAATATGTGAAAAATAATCTGTAACTGGAAATATATTTGTAATTTCAATCAGTTTGTATGAACTCTGTGTTGCCTGAACAAAAACACAAATAACTATAATTCTGCTTTTCTGGAAATGTCACAATCATAGCAATATCCATAATAAAGATAATACATTTCAATACTTGTAAGATAACTTGACAACTTTTGATATGTGACTATGAAACAAAAAGAATTTTATTTATGAGTACTTATGAGGTATGAGTAACATACTTTTAAAGACATCTTAAACTGATATAATTAATTAATTAAAATTAATTTCTTGAAAATTAATCATGTGTTCAGGTACAATTGATTAGGTTTATCTCACACTGATTCTTGATTATTTTGTCTGATAGCTATGCAGCATAAGAAGCTGCCATTATGTTCTTTGTGCATTCTTTGCATCATTCTAGTTTGGGGTTGCTGACAGCACATTAGAAAACATGGTCAAAACAGACAAGACATACACTAACATTTTAAAATAATGTTTCTTTATTAAAAGTTATAAATTCTTCTATTTTATAGATATGAAATAATTCATTAATGTTATAGAGAAAGTTAAGAAAAATGTCTTAAAATGTTAGTATTTTTTAATAGTTCATCAATGAGACTTATCTTCTGTCTTAAAAAATACTGCTTGAATACACCAGATATGAACTTCCCACATTCTTGTAACAATAACACACTTTTTTATAACTTATCCAATTTATTTCAATTTGTTCATTCAGGGTATATGACATGGAGAACGGCATCTCTCTCTCTCTCTCGTGGCTCGTTAAATTTTCTCCGGTAAGCCAAAATGACAAAGAAGACACTTCATTCTGCTATAATCTATAACTTATCTAAGAAATCTTAAGGGGAATGGGAATGTACTTGTTCGATGAGTCTTAGAAAAGTGTTTCCAAATTATAAATAGAGAATATTTGTTTATCTAATAAGGATTCAACTTGCTCCCCTTTTCCTTCAAACTTTTCTCATATTTTTTATTGCAGTTAATAAAAGATAACATATCTACCCTCTTAACAAATTTGAGATTTTACAAGTACATTATTGTTAACCATAAGCTCAATGTTGTACAGCAGATCTCTAAAACTTTTTTATCTCACATAACAAAAACTTTATACATATTGAACAGGAGCAACTCTCATTTCCCCTTCCCCTCAGTCTACAGCAACAACCATTGCATTCCCTACTTCTAATGAGTTTGAAGACTTTAGCTTTGGGAGATCAGAACATTTCTTTTTTCTCTTAAGTGGATGGCTCTTGCAATCAATTTGTGACTATCATCCTTGCTTAGGAGTTTCCTAAGTCTGTTTTGGAAAAGCTATCTTGAAGGACAAAGTTAATTTACTCTCTCCTGTTTTTTTCTTGAGTTGCATCCTCATTGAGCTGCAGGTGGAAAGCCCAAAAGAATCAGAAATTACCCAAAATTTAAAATCTACATAAGTTAATATTTTAAAATGTAAACCTATTACTCTTATTTCACATCACAAAAAAAGTTGTCAGTGCTATTAGTATCCAGTGAGTGGTTCTTATCTTAGGAAGAACAGAATCATACCTTAAAGAAAGTGCACAGATACCCAATTCTCCTCCTTCATAAAAGCACAGACTTTGACTCTACTTCAAAGATAAGGGTGAAAGGTAATTGAAGGACTAAAAGATTGCCACTGACCTTAGAATGCCACCTTCCCCAATTTTTCCCTCACCGTAGACCTATCTGTTCGTTTTCTCTTCACTTCAGTAAAACCAAATTGCCAAAGGGATGCTGAAGTGAAAGAATAATTGCTCTCATTCTGAAGTCCATCTTTGACTAACTATTGCTGAAAGTACTAATTAAAACTCTTAATACTCTTTAAAAACTCTGCCTTTCTTCTTCAAAATATAACACTTGTTCAGACTCTTCTTATGATGAGGCATTAAGAAGTAAGGCTCAATCGTAACAGTCTTCTGGTTAAGTTTCTCCCCTAATGACTTCTTTCTATACTAAAGTGCTTCTCAAAGCCATATTATAAGTAATCTGTTTACTTACTATCCATTAAAGAGTTTATTAGTGTTATCATTATGATTGCATATATCCTGAAGAAAAGAAGAATATGCATTGTAATCAAATATAAATATTGTAAGACATTTGTTTAGAGAGCTTACTCTTTTGGTTCATCTTAAAATATAAATTTCCTTTAAGTCATGGTACTTCTGATATTGCTTGGAAAGTATGGATGTGCTAAAACAGAATTTATACTTTATATCAAGTCATGACTTATTTTCTACACACATACACCATGCAGTAATTACAACCTCAATGCTCGATGTGTGGTATAATCTTGTTTATGTCCAAGTCATAATATGGGATGATATGAGGTTATATTTTCAAGAAAATCTTGTTCTGGCACTGATAGAAGTGGTTGTTTTGTAAAGAAATGTAAATTTCCTTATGCTGCATTCCTTCCAACCCTCATTGCTTCTTTGCCAACAATTGGAATCAGAATCTAACTTGTCACATTGGCTCATTTACAAAATCAAGCCAGGAGAAAAAGGCTTAGGAATGAAAATGACTATAAGATTTTGCATATTTATCCTGATGAAGATCCTTAGGTAATATATGTTTAAACATATTCTGATGATGCTGGACTAAGGAAAGGTGTATGGAAAATACGTTAGGTAGTGCTGGAACCATGAATTTACTGACTATCTAGAGTGAGGCCCAAAGAAAGGAAAAGAGAAAGGTTCTTAAATGGTCTAAGCAGGAAGAGAAGTTGATATGCTGCTTTTTCCTTAGAGATAAGCATATTTAATTGTATTCAATGTATGTGTGGCAAGAATACCTCATGAAGGCTGAGGCAATTCTGAATTAGGAAACTATACCTTCCTTTGTGGTTTGATACAAAGACATGCCTTATTCCCTTAGCTTACTAACAGCCTCCAAGAGACTGAAAATGTGAGTATGAAACTTCAAGTGACTTTGCAACCAGAGATGTCTTTTATAAGCACTAGGTAAGTGTAAGCTGATCCAACAAGGAAAAATACATAAAACATAGTCATCATTATGGTAAATGTACATACAATTTTGAACTCAAACAGGTATTAGAAGCACAAGCAGGTTGCATGATACGATATTTTTCTTCCCGGTTCATTTGATGCTACATTGTCAACTCTCCCTTAATCCATACCTGTAGCTTCAGAATTCATTTTCATATAATTATTGCAAAATTCAAACAAAACTTAAGACCTTGAATGTTTAAAGGTTTTCTATGAGCATTCGCCATAGAAGTAGCCCTTATGTCCTGTCCAATGTGGTTAGTTTCCTCTTGCCCCAGCATCTTTTCTCTGCCATAGTTTTTATGCATCGGGTTGATCCTCAGGACCTACCACTACCACTTCTCATTACTTCTAGGCTGAACTCAAATTCTCACAGGCTTCAAGGGGTCAGGTATAAGTATGACCTGGGGAGAGGTGCTAATTATGACAAAAATAATTACAAGATGTTAATTTATATAGCAAAACCTGGAAAATGCATAAGACCCCTAAGAGCTGGATTGGGTTGGAAATAATATATGTTGAATTGGGACAAGTTTGTTTAGGTGGTATAATAATCAGAGATTCTGGAAACTTCTTAATTTTCCCTAACTAGTTCTCACTTTACTCCTGACAAGTCCAGGATCGAGGTGCTAGCATGGTTGTTATCTAGTAAGGACTCTCTCCTTGGGTTTCTGTCTTATCACAAGGCTTTTTGTTGTTGTTGTTGTTGTTGTTGTTGTTTGTCTTTGTTTGCTTTTGTTTTTTTTGGTGTGTTCTGATGGAGAGAAAGGGAGGAAGCAATTTCCTTGGTGTCTCTTTTTAAAAGCAGACTAATCCCATCATGAGGACTCCACCCTCATGACCTAATCTAAACCTAATTGCCTCCCAAGTACCCCACCTTCTAATACTTTCACACTGGGAGTTAGGGCTTCAACATATGAATTTGGAGGAACAAAATTCAGTTCATAGTAAGCTGTTCAACACGTGCCCTTACTATAGCGGCTCATATATCAACAAAGCTGTGAGAAATACATTGGTGAGGGGAGGCCTAACATTCTAGGAGAGAACTATGAAAAAAATATCAACACAATAATTGTGGGGACTGGGCTTCTTGAATTCAGTGAGAAAGTTAGGGTCCCGGGGTTATGTGGGCCATGTGGTGGCACTTAAATGCTAAAGATAAGGTGAGAATAGTTACTATAGTTGGATACAGATTGAAAGTCATAATCTGAATGTTTTTATTTTTAGATATCTTTGTCATGAGCTTATACATCATAGCATTCCCAGAACTGGAAGAGATAGCCATTCTACTAAATTATTACTTGATTTGTGTAAGCAGAAAAGCTCTACATTATTTGAAAATAGGTCTAATTTTTTAAACTGCAATGGAGAGAGATTGTGTCTCAAAATTTCTAGATATAAAACTGTTCATAAGCCCAGAGCCCCTCAAATGAAAGATCTCTTTCTTCTTGAGAAAATATTCTGTTATTCAATCAAAAATTTAAACTGTACATTTTTCTCCTAGCATTTTCTAAAGGCACTGGATGCCATTTATCTGGGTGTCTTATCAATGAAGAAGGTAAAACAATCAATTTTTTTGTGAATTACTTGACACTATCTCTGAAATAACATTAAGCCTGAAGAATCAGGATGCTCCTATAGTCAACCAGTCACAGTAAGACTTATAGTGGTAAAGGGAATAAATGGAGTTTATCTCAACTCTACCTCTCAAATAGTAGAATATGTCATTCCTTATGGTATTTCAGAGATTAATTTCTCCATCAAGAACTTGAAAGATTTTGGAGTGGTCATGCCTATCATATTTCTATTTAACTTGCCTATTTGGCTTGTGTGTGGAAAATGATCTTGAAAAATTCCTCCGAGTTAGTATAATTTATTTATGTTCTGATTCCAATTACTGCTGCTGTTTCAGAGAACAATTCAACATAGACCCTACCTACTGATATCTAGCTGTGATACTAGTGAGTGGACTCTCTCTATGCCAGATACAAATAAAAACCATTTACTTTTACATGGAAAATATAGCAGTACATCTTTAGAGTTTTACCTTTGGATTCATTCAAATCTTATGATCAGTGCCACAGTAGACTATGATATGGTTTCACTGTGTCTCCACCCAAATTGCATCTTGAATTCCCATGTGTTGTGGGAGGGACCCAGTGGGATGTAATTGAATCATGGGGGCAGCTCTTTCCCATACTGTTCTTATGATAGCAAATAAGTCTCATGAGATCTGATGGTATTATAAGGGGAGTTTCCCTGCACAAGCTCTCCCTGACTGCTGCCATCCATATAAGTTGTGACTTGCTCCTCCTTGCCTTCTGTCATGATTGTGAAGCATCCCAGCCATGTGGAACTGTAAGTCCATTAAACTTCTTTCTTTTCAAAATTGTCCAATCTTTGGTGTGCTTTTATTAGTAGGGTGAAAATGGACTAATACAGTAAATTGGTACCAGTAGAATGCAGTGTTGCTGAAAAGATACCCAAAAATGTGGGAACAAATTTGGAACTGGGTAAGAGGCAGAGATTGGAACAGTTTGGAGGGCTCAAAAGAAGGCAGGAAACTGTGGGAAAGTTTGGAACTTTCTAGAGATTTGTTGAGTTTCTTTGACCAAAATGCTGATAATGATATGTACAATGAAATACAGACTAAGTTGGTCTCAAATGGAGATCAAGAACTCATCAGGAACTGGAGCAAAGATGACTTTTGTTATATTTTAGCAAACAGCCTGGCAGCATTTTGCCCCTACCCTATAGATTTGTGGAACTTTGAAGTTGAGAAAGATGATTTAGGGTGTCTGGTGGAAGAAATTTCTTAGCAGCAAAGCATTCAAAAGATGACTTGGGTGCTGTTAAAGGCATTCAATTTTATATGGGAAGCAGAGTATAAATGTTCAGAAAATTTGCAGTCCAACAATGTGATAGAACAGAAAATCCAATTTTTGGAGGAGAAATTCAAGCAGGCTGCAGAAATTTGCATAAGTAACAAGAAGCCAAATGTTAATCCCCAAGACAATGGGGGAAATGTCTCCAGGGCATGTCAGAGGTCTTCAGAGAAGCCCCTCCCATCACAGGCCCAGAAGGCTAGGAGGAAAAATGGTTTTATGGGCTGGGCCCTGGGCCCCTGTGCTGTGTTCAGTCTAGGGACTTGGTCCCTTGCGTCCCAGACACTCCAGCCATGGCTGAAAGGTGCCAACATAGAGCTTGGGCCATGGCTTCAGAAGGTGTAGGCCCCAAGCCTCGGCAGCATCCACATGGTGTTGAGCCTGTGAGTGTATAGAAGTCAAGAATTGGGGTTTGGAAACCCCTGCTTAGATTTCAGAGGATGTATAGAAACTCTTGGATGTTGGAGCCCCCACAGAGAATCCCTACCGGGGCACTGCCTAGTGGAGCTATGAGAAGAGTGCCACCATCCTCCAGACCTCAGAAAGTAGATACACTTACAGCTTACACCATGCACCTGGAAAATAGACAGACACTTAATGCCAGCCCATGAAAGCAGCTGGGAAGGAGGCTGTACCTGGCAAAGCCACATAGGCAGAGCTGCCCAAGAGCAGGGGATCCCACTTCTTGCATTAGCATGACCCGGACGTAAGAAAAGTAGTCAAAAGAGATCATTTTGGAGATTTAAGAGTTGACTGCCCTACTGGATTTCATACTTGGATGCGACCGTAGCCCCTTTGTTTTGGCCAATTTCTCCCCCTTTGGAATGGCTGTATTTACCCAATGCTTGTACCCCACAATGATAGATACATTGTATTGTATCTATCTACAATCTACATTGTATTGTATCTATCAATGTGGGGTACAAGCATTGGATAAATCAATCAATCTGCTTTGATTTTATAGGCTCATAGGCAAAAGGGACTTGCCTTGTCTCAGATGAGATGTTGGACTGTGGACTTTTGAGTTAATGCTGAAACAAGTTAAGACATTGAGGGACTGTTGGGAAGGCGTGATTGGTTTTGAAATGTGAGGACATGAAATTTAGGAGGGGCCAGGGGCAGAATTAAATGATTTGGCTGTGTCCCCACCTAAATCTCATCTTGAATTCTCACATGTTGTGGGAGGGACCTGGTGGGAGGTAATTGAATCATGGAGGCAGGTCTTTCCCATGCTATTCTCATGATAGCAAATAAGTCTCATGAGATCTGATGGTATTACAATGGGAGTTTCCCTGCACAAGCTCTCTCTTTGCCTGCTGCCATCCATGTAAGACATGACTTGCTCCTTCTTGCATCCTGCCATGTTTGTGAGGCCTCCCCAGCCATATGAAACTTTAAGTCCATTAAAACTTTTTCTTTTGTAAATTGCCCAGTCTTGTGTATGTCTTTATCAGCAGCATGGAAATGAACTAATACAGACTACAAAGATACCTACCATCAAGACAGACATTACACAGAACATCACACTAGCATTCCACAGAATGTTACTATTGTCTGTAATGCTGCTGGCATTAAGGTGATTGGACCTAATGAGCAAAAACTAGCACGTATTTTAGAGTGTTTGTTAAGACTCATATAGACTAGAAAGAAGATAAATGCCAGGAAATTCAGGGACCTGCTATCTCAATGAAGTTTCTGGGGATCCAGCAATATATAGAGAATGATGTCCCACTTTTCCCAAGGTGAAAGACAAACTGTTACAAAATCTTGGTAAAAACAATTGGATATTTAAGGAAAAAACATGAGACATTTGAGTATGCAATTCTGACCCATTTACAAAGTAAGCCATGGCACTTGCAATTGTGAGTGGAGACTGCAGCAACAAAGGCTCTGCCGCAATTCCAGAGTGCCATAAGGCATATCTCACACTTCAACATTACAATCAAACTTATTCAGTTTTACTCAGATTTTCTGTGGAACAGAGAAATGTTCTTTGGTGGCTTTGAAATATCCCAATATTAGTACCATAATTCAGCTAAGGTTTGAGAAAAGACACCTTCTTTTCAGATAATTCTTATAAGCAACAACTGCTAGTTTTCTTTTAAGCTGTGGTGGAAATTGAATGCCTAATTCTAAATACCAAATGAGCAGATGACCTGATGTCATAGATGTAATGGACTCTACCAAGCCATACATTGGGTCTTACACATATCATTAAGTGGAAATGCTTTATAATACATTACGTTTGAGCAGGACCAAAAGGCACAAGTTAGTTTAATGGACTAGTTACTTAGACCTTTACAACAATTTCTTCTACATTGCCACTTTCCCCTCAATTCACACTTATGACCTTATGAGGAATTTCTGATGGCCAATTGACATAGAAGGGAAAAAATAATATTTGTGCCTCGTTTACAGATATCAAAAATAAAATCAGCAGAGCCAAAGTTTCAAATCAATTGATTGTATTTAATGAACATAAATAATTTTTGAAAATTACAATTATTGATTTGTTAAATGTAGTCAAAATAGGTGAACAAAGAATGATAGAATTAAGGCTTGCTTGGCTGACATAATATTGAGGAAGAGTACTGAAAAAAGAGAGCCCACTGCTTTGTATTTGCTTTAGTCACATCTGTCCTGACAAAAGACCATCAGACAGAAAATAATATAGGAGGTATTCATAAGAAAATAGTAAGCACTAACATGAGATAAGTGATTCTAAGGACCACCTAGAAGCTCTTTATTATTCCAGTTTTCAGTAATTCCTTTTTTCCATGAGAAAAATTACACCTCATGTCACTGGAAGTAAGTGCAAATTAAACTGCTAGTAATGGCAATAATTTCCGTGAAATCATTAAAATAATAAAGAAATACCAGAGCAAAGAATAAGCAAATATTAGATTTTTTACAGATTTTTTTCTGCTTTTTATGTAAAGCTCATCATAGATGTTCAAGTAATACTTTGAGAAAATAAATAGATTCCAAACAAGACATCTTCCCTGAGCGCTACATCTAAAGGTCAAATCATGGTTGTTTTTCTTCCTGTTTTCCATGTTTCAGAAAGTAAAACCATCCTTCCCACCCATATCACTCCTCGAGGTCATGCTTTCATTACCTCCTACATTCAGACAGACACGTGGAGCTAAAATTCTACATTATCAATGTCTAGTGTCTATTTCTCTCCTTTCTCTCTCATATTACCCTAGGTCAAGCTTCATCAGTTTATAGCTGAATCACTGGAACAACTTTATGAATTTCACCTGTGTTCTTTATTTTCTAAAACCCACTCTCCATGTAATAAGGAGAACAATTTTTCCAAACCATAAATCTCATGTAGCTATTTTTCTGCCTACAGTTTTTCATTGACACTCCATATGTGTAAACCTTTCACATGGAGCAAAAGGTGCTTCATCAAGTGACACCAACTCCAACTCCTGTAGTCTTGTCTCCTGCCAGTCCCTCGGATGCTTCCTCATCTTCACTAAACTCTTCATCCATCTCTGGAAAGCACTATTATTGGGGAGTGCATAGAATTCTTCAATGCTATTTTCTTTATCTGAAATATAGGAGTCCTGACTTATCTATGATTTTGCTTTCTGCAGTTTCAGTTATTGGAGGTCAACTACTGTCCAAAAAATGTTGGGTACAATATAGTAAGATATTTTGAAAGAAAGAGAGCAAGAGAAAGATGGTTCATATTTGTCTAACTTTCATTATAGTATATTGTTATAATTGTTCTATTTTATTGTTATTCTTGTTAATCAGTCATTGTGACAAAGTTGTAGTTAAACTTTATCATAAGTGTGTATGTATAGGAAAAAGCGTGGTGTATATAAGGTTCAAGAATATCTGCGGTTTCATGTATCCACTGGGGTTCTTGGAATGTATTCCCTGAAGGTAAGGGGGTGGGCTACTGTGGTAGTAGTCATCATACACACCCACACACACACACAAACACGCACACACACACTTCATTTCTTGGCCAATTAAATAAGCTACCTTATTGTGGTTGCTATCTTTATTTTTCCAATCGGTGTAAGTGTCATCTCAGAAAAGCTTTTTTTGACCTGGTCATATTTTTGTGCCCATGAGCATACCTATCCCACTTGTGGCACCTCAAAGCAGATCCTGATAGTATATCATCTCCACTACCTTTTAAGCATGTTGACATCAGGAATTGCGAAGTTGAGTTTTTATTTCTCTGTCATTGGCAAGTAGATAGCAAAGGACCAAATAAAGTTTATGATTTTAATAAATGAGTGAAGAGTAAAGATGGAGGAGACTAAAATAATTATTACACTAGCATGAAAATAGCTGCCAAATTAAAATGTATATGTTACATGGTTTTACTTTTTTAGTCTAAAAATCAGTCCCATCACACAACTATGGATGATGTCTGTTAGATTTCATTTTACTCTGTGTTGCTGTAGGCAGGTATAGAGACATTTGGTGGCAGGAATATTGATGTGTAATTTTTCACTCAAATTTTATGAAATTATTTGCAAATGTGCCACTTATCTTTCCCCATTAGCCTGTTCTTTCCATTTCCATGCTATCTGATGGTTTTCATTGGTAAAAGCCATTCTTTATCTATTCCATCCAAGTCAATATCCAGCTGACCTACACTTTCACAGTATCCTCCCTCATCCAACTCATACACTTACTTTTAGGACCATGTCTTATACAACTTTGATCTATCTTCATTATTTTCACAAAGGATGCTCAAACCTCTCAGCCTGAATAAACTTTGTTCCCATGACAACCTTTTCACAACATTCTTTTTTATTTTATTTTATCTTATTTTATTTTATTTTGTTTTTTTGATTTCCAACATTTATTTTAAGTTTGGGGAAATGTATGCATAATGTGCAGATTTTTTACATAGGTAAACATGTCCCATGGTGGTTTGCTGCACAGATCATCTTATCACGTAAGTATTAAGCCCAGCATCCATTAGCTATTCTTCCTGATGCTCTTCCTCTTCTCATCCCTCACTCTCCAAAAGGCCCCAGTGTGTTGTTCCCCAGCCATGTGTTCATGTTTCTCATCATTCAGCTCCCACTTATAAGTGAGAACATGCAATGTTTGATTTTCTGTTTTTGCATTAGTTTGCTGACAATAACAGCTTTCAGTTCCATCTATGTTCCTGAAAAGGACGTGATCTTATTTCTATTTATGGCTGCATAGTATTCCATGGTGTATATGTACCACATTTTCTTTATCAAATCTATCATTAATGGGCATTCAGGTTGATTGCATGTCTTTGCTATTGTGAATAGTGCTACCATGAACATATGTGTCCATGTATCTTCATAATAGAATAATTTATATTATATTGGGTATATATCCAGTAATGGATTGCTGTGTCAAATGGTATTTCTGCCTCTATGTCTTTGAGGATTTGCCACACTGTCTTCCACAATCGTTGAACTAATTTGCATTCCCACCAACAGCATAAAAACGTTCATTTTTCTCTGCAACCTCACCAACATCTGTTGTTCTTTCATTTCTTAATAATAGCCATTCTGATTGGTATGAGATGGTATCTCATTGTGGTTTTGATTTGCATTTCCCTAGTGATCAGTGATGTTGAGCTTTTTTTGTATGTTTATTGGCTACATGTGTGTCTTTTTTTTTGAGAAGTGTCTGTTGATGTTCTTTGCCCACTTTTCAAAGGGGTTGTCTGTTTTATTCTTGTAAATTTGTTTAAATTCCTTGTAGATACTGGATATTAGACTTGTGCCAGATGGATATATTGCAAAAATTTTCTTATATTCTGTAGGTTGTCTGTTCACTCTGATGATAGTACTTTTTTTGCTGTACAGAAGCTCCTTAGTTTAATTAGATCCTATTTGTCAATTTTCTGCTTTTGTTGCAGTTGCTTTTGGTGTCTTTGTCATAAAATCTTTGCCCAGGCCTATGTCCTGAATGATATTTCCTTGATTTTCTTCTAGGGTTTTTATGTTTTGGGGTTTTATATTTAAGTATTTAATCCATCTTGAGTTAGTTTTTGTATAAGACATATGGAAGGGGTCTGGTTTCTATTGTCTGCATATGGCTAGCCAGTTCTCTCAGCACCATTTATTAAATAGGGAATTCTTTCCTCATTATTTGTTTTTGTCAGGTTTGTTGAAGAACAGATGGTTGTAGGTGTGTAGTCTTATTCCTGGGTTCTCTATGTTGTTCCATTAGTCTATGTGTCTGTTCTTGTACCAGTACCATGCTGTTTTGGTTACTGTAGCCTTGTAGTGTAGTTCGAAGTTAGGTAGCAAGATGCCTCCATCTTTGCTCTTTTTGCTTAGGATTGTCTTGGCTACTTGAGCTCTTTTTTGGTTTTATTTGAGTTTTAAAATAATTTTTTTCGAATTCCTTGAAGAATGTCAATGGTACTTCAATGGGAATAGCATTGAATCTATAAATTGCTTTGGGCAGTATGCCCATTTTCATAGTATAGATTCTTCCAATCCATGAGCATGAAATGTTTGTCTATTTGTTTGTGTACTCTCTGATTTTTTAGGCAGTGTTTTGTAGTTCTTCTTGAAGAGGTCCTTCACTTCCCTGGTTAACTATATTCCTAGGATTTTATTCTTTTTGTGGCAATTGTGAATGAGAGTTAATTTGTGATTTGGCTCTTGGCTTGCCTGTCCTTGGTGTATCAGAATGCTAGCAGTTTTTGCACATTGATTTTATATCCTGAGAATTTCCTGAAGTTGCTTATCAGTTTAAAAAGCTTTTCGGCTGAGACAATGGGGCTTTCTAGATATAGGATCATGTCATCTTCAAACAAAGATAGTTTTACTTTCTCTCTTTCCATTTGAATACCCTTTATTTCTCTCTCTTGCCTGATTGCCCTGGCCAGAACTTCCAATACAATGGTGAATAGGATTGGTGAGTGCAGGCGTTTTTTCTTGTGCCAGTTTTCCAGGTGAATGCTTCAAGCTTTTGCCCATGCAGTATGATATTGGCTGTGGGTCTGTCATATATGGCTCTTTTTATTTTGAGGTATGTTCTTTCAACACCTATCTTATTGAGCATTTTTAAAATGAAGAGATGTTGAATTTTATTGAAGGCCTTTTATGTGTCTATTGAGATAATCATGTTTTTTGTCTTTAGCTCTGTTTATTTGATGAATCACATTTATTGATTTGCATATGCTGAAACAGCCTTGCTTCTCAGGGATGAGGCCTACCTGATCATGGCAAATAAGCTTTTTGATGTGCTGCTGGATTTGGTTTGCCAGTATTTTATTGAGAATTTTTACATCTATGTTTGTCAAGTATATTGACCTGAAGTTTTGTTTTTTGCTGTATCTCTGCCAGGTTTTGTTATCAGGAGTATGCTGGCCTCATAGAATCGGTTAGGAAGGAGTACCTCCTACTAAATTTTTTGGAATAGTTTCAGTAGAAATGGTACCAGCTTTTCTTTGTACCTGTGTTAGAATTCAGCTGTGAATCTGTCTGGTCCTGGGCAATGTTTTTGTTGGTAGGCTACTTATTATTGCCTCAATTTCAGAACTTGTTATTGATCTATTCAGGAATTCAATTTTTGCTGGCTCAGTTTTGTGAGGGTGTATGTGTCCAGGAATGTACCTATTTCTTCTATATTTTCTAGTTTATTTGCACAGAGGTCTTTGTAACATTCTCTAATGTTTATTTGTATTTCGGTGGGGTCAGTGATGCTATCCCCCTTATCATTTCTAATTGTGTTTATTTGAATCTTCTCTTTTGTTCTTTATTAGTCTCGCTAGTGATCTATGTATTTTTTTATTCAAGAAAAAAAAAGCTCCTGGATTGATATGGTTTGGCTCTGTCCCTACCCAAATATCATCTTGAATTTTAGCCCCCATAATTCCCATGTGTTGTGGGAGGGACCCAGTGGCAGATAATGGAATCATGTGGTTAGTTTCCCCCATACTGTTCTTGTGGTAGAGAATACGTCTCACAGAAGATCTGATGTTTTTATAAGGGGTTTTCCCTTTTGCTTGGTTCTTATTCTCTCTTGCCTGCCACCATGTAAGACATGCTGTTTGCCTCTGCCATGATTGTGAGGCCTTCCCAGCCATGTGGAACTGTGAGTTTTTAAACCTTTTTTTTTTAATAAATTACCCAGTTTTGGGTATATCTTTATCACTGCCATGAAAACAGACTAATGCATGCATTCATTGATTTTTTTGAAGGTTTTTTGTGTGTGTGTGTCTCTATCTCCTTCAGTTCAGCTCTGATCTTGGTTATTTCTTGTCTTTGCTAGTTTTGGGGTTTGTTTGCTCTTCGTTCTCTAGTTTCTTTAGTTGTGATGTTAGGTTGTTAACTTGAGATCTTTCTAGCTTTTTTATGTGTGCATATAGTGCTATAAATTTCCCTCTTAACACGGGTTTAACTGCATCCCAGAGATTCTGGTACTTTGTATCTTTGTTCTCATTAGTTTCAAACAACTTCTCAATTTCTGCATTAATTACATTATTTACCCAAGAGTCACTCAGGAGCAGATTTCTAATGTAGTTGTGTGGCTTTGAGTGAATTTCTTAATCTTGAGTTCTAACTTGACTGTGATGTGGTCTGAGCAACTGTTTACATAATTTCATTTCTTTTCATTTTGTTGAGTTGTTGAGAAGTCTTTGACTTCTGATTATGTGATCAATTATAGAGTAGGATCCATGTGGCAAAGAGAAGAATGTATATTCTGTTGTTTTGGGGAGGAAAATTGTGTAAATATTGATCAGGTCCACTTGATCCAGAGCTGAGTTCGTGTCCTGAATATCTTTGTTAATTTTCCATCTTGATGATCTGTCTAATATTGTCAGTGGGGTGTTAAAATCTCCCACTCTTATTGTGAGGGGTGTAAGTCTCTTTTAAGGTCTCTAAGAATTTGCTTTATGAATATGGGTGCTCCAGTATTGGTTGCATATATATTTAGAATAGTCAGCTCCTCTTGTTGAATTTAACCCTTTACCATTATGTAATGCCCCTTTTTCTGTCTTTTTTGATCTTGGCTGGTTTAAAGTCTGTTTTGTCAGAATCAATGATTGCAACATCTGCTTTTTCTGATTTCCATTTGCTTGGTAAGTTTTCCTCCATTTTTTTTTTTTTTTTTGCCTATGTGTGTCTTTGCATGTGAGAAGGGTCTTTTGAAGACAGCATACTGATGGGTCTTGGTTCCCTTTCCAACTTGCCATTCTCTGTCTTTTAGTAGAGGGATTTAGCTTATTTACATTTAAGGTTAGTATTGTTATGTGTAGATTTGATCTTGTCATGATGTTGCTAGCTGGTTATTTTTCAGACTTTTTATGCGGTTGCTTCATAATGTCACTGGTCTGTGTTTTTGTAGTGGCTGGTAATGGTTTTTCCTTTCCATATTTACTGCTTCCTTCAGAAGCTATTTCAAGGCAGGTTTGGTGGTATTGAATTTCCTCAGCATTTGCTTGTCTAAAAAGGATCTTATTTCTCCTTTACTTATGAAGCTTAGTTTGGCCAGATATGAAATTCTGGGTTGAAAAATCTTTTCTTTAAGAATGTTGAAATGCCTCCAGTCTCTTCTGGCTTGTAGTGTTTCCCCTGAGAGGCCACCGTTAGCCTGATGAGCTTCCCTTTGCAGGTGTCCTGGCCTTTCTCTCTGGCTGCCCTTAGAGTTTCTTGCATTTTGACCTTGGAGAATTTGATGATTACATGTCTTAGGGATGATTTTATCATGAAGTATCTTACCAGTATTCTCTGCATTCCCTGAAATTGAATGTTGTTCTGGCTTGCTAGGTTGGGGAAGTTCTCCGTGACGATACCCTAAGTATGTTTTCCAACTTGGTTCCATTCTCCCCATCCCTTCCAGGTACTCCAATCAGTTGTAGATTCAGTCTTTTTACATAATCCCATATTTCTCAGAAGTTGTGTTCATTCTTTTTCATTATTTTTTTCTCTAATCTTGTCTGCCTCTTTTATTTCAGAAAGATACTATTTAAGCTTGTGATTCTTTCCTCTGTTTGGTCTATTCTGCTATTAACACTTGTGATTGCATTGTGAAGTTCTTGTAGTATTTTTTGTTTTGTTTTTGTTTCTTCATCTCTAACAAGGTAGTTGTGTTCCTCTCTAAACTGGCTATTTTGGCTTCAACTCCTGTATTGCTTTATAATTCTTAGCTTCTTTACACTGGTTTACAACGTGTTTCTTTAGCTCAGCGAAGTTCATTATTATCCACTTTCTGAAGCCTACTTCTGCCATTTCAGCCATCTCAGCCTTAGCCCAGTTTTGAGCCCTTTCTGTAAGGGTGTTTCAGTTTTGTAGGAAAAGGGGCACTCTGGCTTTTTGAGTTTTCAGCATTTTTATGTTTATTTTTTCTCATCTTTGGGCATATTTAACTTTAATCTTTGAGGCTGCTGACATTTGGTGAGTTTTTGTGGGGTCGTATTGGTGGTGGTTGTGCTTTCTGTCTGTTAGTTTGTCTTTCAACAGTCTGGCCACACTTCCACAGGGTGGCTGTAGTTTGCTCGGGGTCTGCTCCAGACCCTAGTTGCCTTGGTTTTTCTTGTACCTGGAGGTATCACCAGTGAAGGCTGTGAAAGCTGTGAAACAGCAAGGATGGCATCCTGCCCCTTCCTCTAGAAGCTCCATCCCAGGGGAGTACTGACCTATTGCAGGCCTGAAGGCACCTGTAGGAGGTGTCTGGAGAACCCAGTTATGAGGTATCACCCAGTCAGGAGGAACAGAATCAGGGAACTGCTTAAAGCAGCAGTCTGGCTGCGGTAGAGCAGCTGTGTTGTGTTGGGGATCCCTTTAGCCTTCAGTTGATTTGGGCTCTCCAAGACCCACAGGCTGGACCGGCTGAGAAACCTGAATGGCTAAGGCGGCAGCCTGCCTGGCCCATCAGTCACTCCGTCCCAGGGAGAAATTAGAGCTCTGTTGTCCCTGTAGAACATGGGTGGGGGTGGCTGAAGGCGCCGGCTGGGAGAACAGCCCCAAGAGGAAAAGTGGATCTGTGTCATGCTTAAAGAAACAGTCTGGACATGCCTGACAAAACAGTTGTGTCATGGTGGGGAACCTCCTCTGCCCCTGTCTGCTTGGACAGTCCAATGCTCACAGGCTGGAATGGCTGAGTGGTCCAATCAACCCAGGTGGCAGTCCTCCTGTCCCGCAGGCACTCCATCCCTTGGAGACATCAGAGCTCTGTCAGTAATATGTGAAGGTCGGGGCGCGTGGCTAGAGGGCCTGGCTGGGAGGTCCCACCCAGCAAAGCAAGTAAGTGAGGTAATAGCTATGTTAATTAGCTTGGTTAAATCTTTTCACATTTTATACTCTATTAAAATATTACATTGTGCTTCATAAATGTAATACAATTATGATTTGTTAATTAAAATAATATAAATAAAATAATAAAGTTTTATTGGTATAATGAATGAGATTTTAGAATGGCTTTACAACAGTCAAGGCTAATTTTTCTCAATCAATACATCTTCTCATTGCATACATATTCCAGCATTTTGAGGAGAATGTAGCTTCTGACTTTGTTTTATTCTATTTTCACTCTTACTTTGTCCTGAGTAACTTTAGTTTCCTCACAATTTCATAATATTTTTCTATGACAACAACTTTCACTTTATTTTTCTTTAGTACTCCATGCCTGAGGCTTCATTCAGGATTTATTATCTCCCTGAATGGAAATGCATTCTAAACCATTAATATGAAATTCCTCTATCTGATAACAAACACTTATCCCTGATAAATATATTTTTTATTCACTTCAGACTTTAAATTCCTCCATATATTTTTAAATTATCATTTGATTCTTGACTTTACATTTCTAACAAAATTCATCATCATGTCTAGCAATTTCAGCCCACACTCATCTTCAATTCCCTTCTTCTCCTGCTCTGTGATGCTTTCATTTAAACCCATTTCCAAACTGGATCTCTCTAATCAATAGCTTTTTCCCTCTCCTGAGCTTTGCTGGCAAAACTACATAACTCTGCCAGGCAGGGCAGATTTATGGTTTTCAATTTCTGTTGGGTCCTCCAAATTGCTTGGCAACTCCATTACTTGTCCACTCAAATGACTCTTTGTTTGATAGCAATGACCTATGAAATGGTGAGCAAGCTCTCCCCTTCACAGCATTGTGTACTTATTTCTAGTGTCTCAGAGGAGCTCTTCACTCATGCCCATTTGTGAACTTATAAACTTCAGTCTCCAAGCTGTGTTACTCAGGTATTACTCTTACTTCCCTGCACCTGCTTCTCTAGTTGCTAACAGGAAATTTACCACAGTCACTCACTATTCTGAAATGCTACCAGGAAAGTTTCTCTCAATGCTCTGAGGGCATTTCTTCCCTGGAGAGTCAGAATAATAAGAAGTTCTCTAATAAGCGAAAGGCTTCTTGCCAACCCGCTATCACATGTAGTTACTTGAATACCATATCTGGAAACTTATATAGTCTTCCTTATGGAATCCTGAGAGCCTGGAGCCTTCATTCCCTAATCTTAGCTGCTCAGATTTAACCCATAGTGCCACAAAGGAAACAGACACACCACCATCTTTCCCATATTTCTCTCCTTTTCCTCCCAGTTCTGTCCCCAGTCAAAATCTCTTATATACTACTAGGTATAAAAGAGAAAATATCTTGGATTTTAATAAAGGCAAAATACATATGGAATATGTAAAAAAGTATAAATAGAAGCATGTTGTCTAATCTATACCCGGAGTAATATTACATATCTGTTGTTATACTTATCTATATTAATCACCCTTTATCTTCCTTTTAATTTATAATATGTCTATAGAGCACGCTATCTAAACTTTCTGTTTTTATACCCATGGCTGTTCTGCATACTAAGCTGATACTATTGACTTTAGCCTCACATAAGAAAAAAATAATTATTCTATTCATTTATTTATTCAATAAACATTCCACCATTTATTCAAAATGCAATGAACTAGTAATTTTGAAAAATATATGTATATATTTATTTTTAAAGTAAAAATTAATTTTTATTTGTTGAATATATTAAAATTATGACAAATTCTGACTATATATTTTATGCTTAGTCATAGTTGCTTGCTCACAGGACAAAATATTCTGTTCAACAATCAAAAACAAAATAGAGAAAACATTATTGGAGATTTTAAAAGCTCAACATTAAATTCCAAAAATCATAGACTAGCAAAATTATGGAATGCTTACAGAACTGACGCCTTGCGAGCACTTAGAAAATGACGGTCACTAAATTCCAGCACACATTCACTAATAATAAATCATTGTGTATCTTTAGAAATTATCATTGAATGAGTAAATGAATGAATGAATATCTGGCCCAACCAAATATCTATTTTAATAGAATTTTAGACTAGTATATATAGAGAACAGCAAATTATAGTGCATTATGTTTGAGCAAGAGATTTGACGGACACTATCCTTTGACCCAGATGGAAAAATGGAAAGCAGATGATAACAGTTTCACACATATGCAGCTAATTTTCTGAATAGACCTAGAAAATATGTATTTCTTGGCAATAAAAACTTTAACTTCATCATGTCTTTATCTACCTGTGATGCACATAAATCTCTACACTTATAATAACCCTGAATCCATATTCAGTCTGCCTCAAATATTAGAATATTCGATAATTGGCCTTTTGGAGAAATCAGTTAATATACTTTGAGGAACAGGTGTATTATGCATACAATTGGAAAGCATACAATAAACTTTCTAATTCCTTTCAGTAGCTTTGTAAGCACTATATATAATGGCCAAAACAAACATCTATACATTTATAGCTATAAATTAGCTATAAAAATCAGAAATTTTGCTAACAGTAAAGTTTTGGGGTTTGGGTTTGTTTTTTCTTTTTGAGAAAGAGTGTCCTCTGTCTCCCAGGCTGAAGTGCAGTAGTGAGATTATGACTAACTGCAGCTTGGACCTCCTGGGCTCAAGGGATCTGCCCACCTCAGCCTTCTGAATAGCTGGGAGTACAGGTGTGCACAACCACCCCTGGATAATTTTTCTATTTTGAGTAGACACGGGGTTTTGCCACATTGCCCAGGCTGGTCTCGAACTCCTGGGCTCGAGTGATCTGCTTGCCTCGGCCTCCCAAAGTGCTGGAATTACAAGCGTGATCCACCGCAACCAGCCAAAGTTTATTTTAAATAAGGCTAATTTATCAAATTTAATTTTTTTTCATATTTAGCTGTTCCTTTGTAGTGGCTGTAGTATGTTTATCATTCAGTGTCAGTAGTGAAAGCATCTCTAGTAGTATAAGCATTCAATTTTCCAATTCTCATAATTGTTTTTAAATTTATTTATTTATTTATTTATTTATTTATCTTTATTATACTTTAGGTTCTGGGATACATGTGCAGAACGTGCAGGTTTGTTACATAGCTATACACATGACATAGTGGTTTGCTGTACCCATCAACCTGTCATCTACAATAGATGTTTCTCCTAATGCTATCCCTCCCCCAGCCCACCAGCCCCCAATAGGCCCCAGTCTGTGATATTCCCCTCCCTGTGTCCACGTGTTCTCATTGCTCAACTCCTACTTATGAGTGACAACATGCAGTGTTTTTTTTTTCTGTTCCTTTGTTAGTTTCCTGAGAATGATGGTTTCCAGCTTTATCCATGTCCCTGCAAATGACATAATCTCATCCTTTTTAATGGCTGCATAGTATTCCATGGTGTATATGTGCCACATTTTCTTTATCCAGTCTATCATTGATGGGCCATTGGGTTGGTTCCAAGGCTTTGCTATTGTGAAAAGTGCTGCAGTAAATATACGTGAGCATGTGTCATTATAGTAGAATGACTTACAATCCTTTGGTTATGTATATACTTAGTAATGGGATTGTTGGGTCAATTGGTATTTCTCGTTCTATATCCTTGAGGAATCATCACACTGTCTTCCACAATGGTTGAACTAATTTACACTCCCACCAAGAGTGTAAAACTGTTTTTATATCTCCACATCCTCTCCAGGATGTTTCCTGACTTTTTGAAGTTGTTTCATGACTTTTTAAAGTTTTTTCCTGACTTTTTAACGTTTCCTGACTTGAAAAAGTTGTTTCCTGACTTTTTAATGATCACCATTCTAACTGGCATGAGATGGTATCTCATTGTGGTTTTGATTTGCATTTCTCTAATGACCAGTGATGATGAGCTTTTTTTCAAATGTTTGTAGGCCGTATAAATGTCTTCCTTTGAGAAGTGTCTGTTCATATCCTTTGCCCACTTTTTGATAGGGTTGTGTGTTTTTTTTACTGTAAATTTGTTTAAGTTCTTTGTAGATTGTGGGTATTAGCCCTTTGGGTAAATAACAGAATTAAGGCAGAAATATATAAGTTCTTTGATACCAAAGAGAACAAAGACACAACATACCAGAATCTCTGAGACACAGCTAAAGCAGTATTTAGAGGGAAATTTATAGCACTGAATACCCACAGGAGAAAGGGGGGAAGATCTAAAATCAACACCCTAACATCACAGTTAAAAGAACTAGAGAAGCAAGAGCAATTTCAAAAGCAAGCAGAAGATAAGAAATAACTAAGATCAGAGCAGAATTGAAGGAGATAGAGACATGAAAAACCCTTTTAAAAAATCACTGAATCTAGGAGCTGGGAAAAGATTAACAAAATAGATAGACTGCTAGCCAGACTAATAAAGAAGAAAAGGAGAAGAATCAAATAAACACAATAAAAAATGATAAAGGGGATATCACCACTGATCCCACAGAAATACAAACTACTATCAGAGAATACTATAAACACCTCTAAGCAAATAAAGTAGAAAATCTAGAAGAAATGGATACATTTTTGGACACAAACACCCTCCCAAGACTAAACCAGGAAGAAGTTGAATCTCTGAATAGACCAATAAAAAGGTCTGAAATTGAGGCAGTAATTAATAGCCTACCAACCAAAAAAAAACCCAGGACTAGATGGATTTACAGCCGAATTCTACCAGAGGTACAAAAAGAAGCTGGTACCTTTCCTTCTGAAACTATTGCAAACAATAGAAAAAGAGGGAATCCTCCCTAACTTTTATGAGGCCAATGTCATCCTGATACCAAAACCTGGCAGAGACACAACAAAAAAAGAAAATTTCAGGCCAATATCCCTGATGAACATTGATGTGAAAATCCTCAATAAAATACTGGCAAACCAAATCCAGCAGTACATCAAAAAGCTTATCCACCATGATCAAGCTGGCTTCATCCCTGGGATACAAGGCTGGTTCAACATATGCAAATCAATAAACATAATCTATCACATAAACAGAACCAATGACAAAAACCACATGATTATTGCAATAGATGTAGAAAAGGCCTTTGATAAAATTCAACACCACTTCATGCTAAAAACTCTCAGTAAACTAGCTATTAATGGAATGTATCTCAAAATAACGAGAGCTATTTATGACAAACCCATAGCCAATATCACACTGAATGGGCAAAAGCTGGAAGCATTCCCTTTGGAAACTGGCACAAGACAAGGATGCCCTCTCTCACCATGTCTATTCAACATAGTATTGGAAGTTCTGGCCAGGGCAATCAGGCAAGAGAAAGAAATAAAGGGTATTCAAATAGAAAGGGAGGAAGTCAAATTGTCTCTGTTTGCAGATGACATGATTGTATATTTAGAAAACCCAATCATCTCAGCCCAAAATCTCCTTAAGCTGATAAGCAACTACAGCAAAGCCTCAGGATATGAAATATGTATTTTTGAGGCTCATTTTCTATATCCAAGAAACATGAGGTGGAAAAGCAAAGACATGTAATAATGAATACAGTTAAATGAAATTCTGAAAAATTTATGATAAAAGTCTCTGTAAAATATAAAGTTACAATGGCCGGGCACAGTGGCTCATGCCTGTAATCCCAGCACTTTGTGAGGCCAAGGCGGGCAGATCACCTGAGGTCAGGAGTTCGAGACCAGCCTGGCCAACATGGTGAAACCCCGTCTCTACTAAAAATACAAAAATTAGCTGGGTGTGGTGGCAGGTGCCTGTAATCCCAGCTACTCGGGAAGCTGAGGCAGGAGAATCGCTTGAACTCAGGAGGTAGAGGTTGCAGTGAGCCAAGATCCTGCCATTGCACTCCAGCCTGGGGGACAAAGTGAGACTTTGTCTCACAAAAAAAAAAAAAAAAAAATATATATATATATATGTGTGTGTGTGTGTGTGTGTGTGTGTGTGTGTGTGTGTGTGTGTGTGTATGTGTGTGTGTGTGTATGTATAAAGTTACAATGAATGAAGGAAGCAATTTTCTTTGGAATATAAAACAAAGGCTTTCTTCTTACTAAATTATGTTAGTAGGATATGATTGTATAAGAAGGTTATCTCTCCCACATAACATTATCATAAGCATCAAAAGTAATAATACTCATAGAATCACATTGTCAAATGAGAAAAAGTAAATACATATTTTTAACATACAGATGTGTATATGAATATATATGTGAGTTTGTCTGTTATAAGAAGGAAACTTACTCTTGGCCTCCTTTTTATTGAAAAACATGTATTGTGTGTCCATTTGTTGAACTTTGATAGTAATTCTGTGAGTGAAGATCTCTTCTAAATTTTGCCATACCCTCATTTTGGTATTCTGCTAAGCTTTTGCTTTCTTCTTCTTCTTGACATCACATTAAAAAATTTCTCATAAATACTCACAGAACAATTGTTTATGTACAAAATGCTATTCTATAAATTACAATTGGGTAGGCTGAAGGGGATTATATGGGTGAATAAGGCTGGGTCTTTGCCCTCAAACTGATTATGGTAGAGGCTAAAAAAATAACTGAATATAATAAAGATCAGCCTCAGTTTTCAAAAATGGTGCATTGCTGTTTTTCTGTCTCCTTATAATTTTAAACATTAATTTTAAGATATTATCATCCAAAAGATAAAGACCTTTCTCTCTTTGGGGAAAGTATTTAAGGCTGCATGCAAATACAAGTTCTTAAAACCCATTACAGTGGTATGATCTTAACAGAGAGAAGTCAGTTCTAGATGTTTTATTTATGTTAACATGCTAGATTGATAGCAATATTGAGTCCTATCAGTACAAGCAGCCTTAAATATGAGTAAACAAAGTTTTATCATTAGATAGATGAAGTCGTTAACTTCGGAAAAAGGACTTTTTGGTTTTACAGTTTTCTGGATTTGGTTGGGTTGTTCTGGATATTGTGGCAGCCCTACTTTAAAAGATACATTACACAGGTAGCATGTATTGAAAAGGGTTCTAATATACAGGGTTGATTTCATGTTTGTGTCCAAGTGTATCATTTTGGGTTGCTCAGAATAACAGAGCCATCTTAAGTATTATCGGAATAAACAGGTTAAATACAGAAATTAGGGCTTATACAATATTTGGAAAAGTGATGAAAGTGAAGGTCGGTAGGGAAGGCTGCAGCTGTTAAGTCAGTTGAAAAGTCACTGGAGCAGCCAGGTGCCCTGTAGCAAGTGTAGGTGACCCTTGAACAATGCAAGAGTTGGAAGTGCCAAACTCTATGCAAATAAAAATCTGCATATAACTTTTTACTCCCCCAAAATGTAACTATTAATAGCCTACTGCTGACTGGAAGTCTTACCAATAACAGAAACTGTCGATTAACACATATGTTGTTTATGTATTATATACTGTACTCTTACAATACAGTAAGTTAGAGAAAAGTAAATGTTACTAAGAAAATTATGAGGAAGAGAAAATACATTTACTATTTATTAAGTGGAAGTGGATCATCAAAAAGCCCTCCGTTCTTGTCATTTTAATGTTAAGTAGGCTGAGGAAGAGGAGGAAGAGAAGGAGTTGGTCTTGCCATCTCATGAGTGGCAGAGGGGAAAGATAATCTGAGTGTAAGTCGATACATCCAGTTCATCCTGTATTGTTCAAGGGCCAACTGTAGTTCTAAAACTGTTGCCAGGAAATTGCCTTGGAAAGGATAACAATCAACTGTCTCAGCCTGTAGCAGTAAAGCTAGAGATTGCCGGAATGCTCAGTTGCGGTATCTGCTTCCCACAGCCTCTTGAGTGAATATCTTCTTTCCAAATTTTGTGAGAGATATTGTAATGTACAAATTTTAATTCAGATCCATATAGGAAACTGCTAAAGCTGCTGTTGATTATTGGTAATTCAGCACAGAAGAGATGATGCACTTTAAGCAGGACTTGATTCTTTTCCTCAAAAACAATGAAATTAATATTATAGAAAGAAAATAATTGAATCATATTTTTGAAATATGCTGATGGAGGGATAGTTTTCCGGTGACACTGCAAAGATCTTAGCCCTTAACTTTCTACCAACCTTCTTGCTAAACTCCAGTTGGGTAACTAAAGGCTACTTACTTATTCAGCAAATATTCAATTATTCTTTATAGGCTAAATTACAGTCTCAGTCTTGATCATGATCCTTCTAGTACTGTAATTAACACAACCTTGGTTTCTCCCATGTGTTTCAAGAATTTTAAGGGTGAACAATATTCGGAATAAAATCAAACTTTGACTGCCCTTCCCCAATCTATCATATAAAATGTTTCAGCTTTGTACTCACCATAAAGAAGTCTTTTTGAGCATTCCTCAAACTGCAAAATATAACAAAAGTTTGAGCTAAGGCTTTGGTTGTGTTTTTCCTTTCACAACTCTGACTTTAGCATAGATTCTCATACTATATTAACTAATTTGAAATTGAAGAGATAATTCAGAAGTCAGTTTTCTTAATATTTCCAAACAAAATGTAATACTGAAAAATGGTTTACTTAAAAATTCTATTAATCTACCAAAAGTAATTTAATCAATTTGGCACTTATAAATTAAGTAAATGATTTATTTAATTAGGTAGATAACACAGTGACATTGCAGATGATTTTACCTGTCATTAAATATGTTATATTAAGAATTGACAGGGCCTGCAGGCAAGATTGCCAACTAGATGAAGTTAGGAGGAACATCTGCCACTGAGGGACGGAAGCACTGGAAAGACTGGTGCACTCCAAGGAGATCTTCTGATTGAGGACGTTGAGAGTGGCCAGAGGGAGGATATAAGGGCTGGGCTGAAGTAGGAGAAGCTGGAAACCCTGCATAAATCTATCACACATTGGGACCCATTCCTGGTCTCCAATGACTCCTGGGTAAGGGATGAGTCGAGCAGGTGAAGAGCGACCAACTCTCACCACAGACCTTAGAAATCCTGACAGCAGGGGGGCCCATGACCCCCATGGATGCTTAAGCTGACAGGGAGAGCTATTTAGAGGGGTGGTAGGGGCAGGACTCCAGCATATACAGAGCCCAGAGGGTTTAGTATGGAAATGTCTGCAGGTGAGTAAGGTTAGAGACACCCATCCCTCAAGGCTTCTCCCTCTCTCGTAGGAGACTCCAGCCTTAGGGGAAATGTTGGATTTGAACAGAGCAGGGCAATCTTTCCCATGAAATAATTACAGTCTGATCTGAAGGCTCTTTTGTCTGCTTGCCTCTCCTGAGGCTCCAGCCTGGCTCTTCCTGCTTTCAGTGGTGCCTTGGATGCCCAACTAGAATGCCGCCTGGGGATCTCCATTATAGCTCCTATGCTGGCAGGCCATGCCTGACCATTGGAGAACTCCAGCAGAGTGGCCCCTGCCAAAACATACAAACCCACCTTTGCCCTCCCCACACCACAGCCTCCCTTGTGCCACTTTGCTGGCACATACTCACCCGTGGCCAATCCTTCATCACTTTGTTGGCGTGCTATGCATGGGTGGATTATGCCTCTCCTTCTGGTGTAAGGGTGGGCATACACCGTGCCCTGACATTGCTGTTGGCATGAGCACACTCATTGCCCCAACATGGCACCACCATACTGCCATTGCTGGCACTAACATGTACAGGGATGCCAGTGTCTCTGCCCCCCACCCTGCACCATGATTGCTGCTGGCATGAATGATCATGCACCTTGCTGTGCTGCCACTGCCGTTGGCACAAGAAAACGAGCACATGAGCATGGATCCCACTGCCATTGCCTGAAAAACTGCTTTGGCTGGCACTACCCTTCAGAGTGTTATGAGCAGTGTTATGGGAAGACCTTGGCCTTTCCAGTACAACAGCACCTTGAGGGGTGAAAGAACAAAGCCAGGGGCCTGATACCAGCCCCCTAGAGTTACAGCACACAGCCAAGGAGTACTAAGCTAAGCCAAGGAGTACAAAAATCTACCAGAAACAAAGCCAGTCAACTAAAACCACCTTATACCAAATCAAGTTCCCAAGAACATCAAAGAAAATAAAAACAAAATATAAAAACCCATCCAAAGACAGCAGCTTTAAAGACTGAAGGAATATCAACCCACACAGATGAGAAAAAAAACAGCAGGGGAACTCTAACAACTCAAAAAGCCAGAGTGTCTTCTTAACTCCAAATGATCTCACTAGTTCCCCAGCAATGGTTCTTAACCAGGCTGAAATGGCTGAAATAACAAAAATAGAATTCAGATTATGAATAGGTCCCATATTTCTTGATTGTTTTGCTCATTCTTCTTTATGATTTTTTATTTTTTTCTAAGTTGTTTTGGACAGCCAGTTTTCAAACTCTGAGATTCTTCCCTCAGTTTGGTAGATTCTGCTGTTAACACTTGTGATTGTATTCTGAAAATTTTGAAGTTAGTTGATTAGCTCTTTCAGCTGAGTTTGGTTCTTTCTTAAAATGGCCATTTTTTTCTTTCCTCCCCTGTATTGTTGTATTGTATTCCTTAGAATTCTTGGATTGTGTTTTGACTTACTCCTGAATTTCAAGAACATCATTCTCAGGACACATAATCATCAGATTCTTCTAGGTCAAAATGAAATTAAAAATGTTAAAGCAGCTAGAGAGAAGGTGCGAGTCACCTACAAAGGGAACCCTATCAAGCTAACAGTGGAGCTTTCAGCAGAAACCCTACAAGCCACACAGATAACTCAGGTAGAAATCTAACAAATATATACAGGACCTGAACTCAACACTTCAACAAATGAACCTAATAGACATCTAAAGAACACTCCGCCAAAAAACAACAGAACAAGCTTCTTATCTGCACATAGCACACACTCTAAAATTGAACACACAGTTGGCTATAAATCAATCCTCTGAAAATTCAAAATAAACAAAATCATACCAAACACAGTTGGACTACAGTACAATAAAAAAAAAGCCAAGACTAAAAATGTCAACTCAAAAGCATGTAATTACATGGAAATTAAACAAACTGCTCCTGAATGACTTTTGGATAAATAATGAAATTAAGGCAGAAATCAAGAAGTTCTTTGGAACTACTGAGAACAAAGATACAATGCACCACAATCTCTGGGATATGGCTAAGACAGTGTTAAGATGGGAGTTTATAGCACTAAATACCCACATCAAGAAGTTATAAAGATCTCAAATTAACAACTTAACATCACAACTAGAGGAACTAGGGAAACAAGAGCAAACTAACCCCAGAGATAGCAGAAGACAAGAAATGGCCAAAACCAAAGATGAATTGAAGGAAATTGGGACACAAAAAAAACTATAGAAAAGACCAACAAAACTAGGAATTGTTTTTATTTTTCAAAAAAATTTAGCAAGATATGTAGATCACTAGCTCAACTAATAAAGAAGAGATAGATGATCCAAATAAACACAAATGACAAAGAGAGTTTTACCGCTGACCCCACAGAAATACAAAACCCACAGAGACTACTAGGAACACCCTTATGTACACAAGCTAGAAAAACTACAAGAGATGGCTAAATTCCTGGAAACATATACTCTCCCAAGACTGAATCAGAAAGAAATTAAATACCTTAACAGACTAACGACAAGTTTGAAAATTAAATCAGTAATAAAAAGCCTGCTAATCAAAAAATAGCCTGGGACCAGATGGATTCACACCAAAATTCTACTAAATATATAAAGAATGGTAAGTCCCACTCCTCCAGTCCCTAGGAGGTACTCCTCCCTAACTCATTTTATGAAGGCAGCATCATCCTGACACCAAAACCTGGCATACATGCAATTAAAAAAAAAGACTTCAGGCCAATATCCTTGATGAACATAGATGCAAAAATCCTCAACAAAATATTAGTAAGCCAAATCCAGCAGCACATCAAAAAGTTAATTCACCAAGATCAAGTAGTCTTTATTTCTCTGACGCAAGGCTGGTTCAACACACACAAATCTACAAATATGATTCATCACTTAAACAGAACTAAAAACAAAAGCCACGTGATTATCTCAATAGATGCAGATAAGGCCTTCAATAAAATGCAACATCCCTTCATGTTAAAAACCCTCAAAAACTGTGCACAAAAAGAACATACTTAAAAATAATAAGAGCTATCTAAGACAAACTCACAGCCAACATTTTACTGAATGGGCAAAAGATAGAAGCATTTCCATTGAAAACTGGAAAAAGACAAGGTTAACTTCTCACATTACTCCTGTTCAACATAGGACTACAAATCCTGGCCAGAAAAAAATAAGGCAAGAGATAGAAGTAAACAGCATCCAAATAGTAAGAGAAGATCTAAAACTATCCCTATTTTCAGATAATATGATTCCATATCTAAATAACTCTATAGTCTCTGCCCAAAAGCTCCATGATCTGATAAACAGGGATTCTTTATTTATAGTAATTTACTTTGTTTTAATTAATCAACATTATTTACTGTACTCCTGATGTAAGTCCAATATCCTAAAGTAGTGACTGCATTATTCTTAACCCCGTCAAAATTCATGGAGTTAGAGCAATAATCTACATCTTACAAAAACTCCGCCTTCTGGACATTAGGCGTGTTTTTACCTCAAGAAAGATAACATCAATTTTGTAACAGCCTCTGAATGTGTGGGCACGAGTGTGTATGTGTGTCTTGTGTGTGCTTGTATGTATGAACTTGTGATAAAATTATTGTAAAATTAAATGTCACATTCACTGCCTAGTGGCAGTGTTGGTGGCCAGTTGTTCCCATGTTATCCACTGTGGCATGTTAATCTGACTGTTTCTTGTATTATAACTTTGGTTTCAATGTTTATCTCAGAAGAGATTTTGAATAGAAAGCCTTTTTTAAAAAATATTATTTATTTCAGAAAGTATACTAACAACTTCAGGGAACATTGTTAGTTCCCAAAGAACTCCCGAAGAAACAAAAACTGATTTACTGAAATATAAGCTGCTTAAGTCTTTCTATTTTCTTCTCCATATGTTCTAATAATAAATTTCATAGACTAAAGATTAATACAGTATGTGTGAAGTAGAATTATGCTAAATTATGTGTATCTGAAGACATTGTTTAAATGTCTAATTAACAATCATCCTTTAACTCTCTTTTATAATATATTTTAATCACAGAAATGAATAATTATTTTAACAAATATAAATATATAGGACATTTGTAATTTAATGAATATTTTCCTTAACTGTGAGGATGTAGCAGTGAGCAAAACAGTCAATAAAATGCATAATTTAAGAGGATCACATACTAGCATGAGTCAATGGAAAAATATAGAATAAAATAGATATTATGTATAGGATGATTACTACTGTGGAGAAATAAGAAAAGTAAGCAAGGTAGACAGTGCTAAAGACTGGAAGTGGAGTTGAAGTTTATAAGCTGAGGTGATCAGAGAAAAATTCAGAGAAGGTGATATTTGAAAATCAACATGAGGAGATAAGGGAACAAAATATGCATGTATTTGGGGGGAAATCCCAGGCAGAAGGAATGACAAGGGCAACAGTCCTGGTGTAGGCAGGTGCTTGGTGTGTTCACAGACATTGAGAAAGTTGATCATGCAGATTCAGAGGGAGTGCATGACTTTCTTCTCTCATTCCAAGGATAGCAAATTGCAGCTCTCATAGACTTAAGAGAGAACAACACAGTTGTTCACTTTAAATAAAGGTATACTTAAAACAAAGGTTTCTTATTGCTGACATACTTGTAAGTTGTAATGTTTTCCGTGAAATGCAATGAGTATATTATTTTTGGTTAATTGATCTTGATTGCTCACAAAGCTAGTTATTTAACAAAATAAATACAAAGGATATTACTTTTTAAAATTTTCCAATAAGTCATTTTATGCTTTTCTGAAACATCTATTAAATATAGTTATTTCATAAAATATATTTTCTTACCATATAAAATACATGTAAAAGTGCTCAATACCATGATATGAATTTATGTAATGTATACAATATGAAAAACATAATATAGAAGTGTTTTTAAAGTAACTACTTTGGTTAGACATATATATTTTGAAATTCTGTCTAAGTGGGTAATTTGTGTATCCAATTCAATCTGTAGAAAAGCTGTATAGAATCTACATTATAATGCTTCAAGGCTATGCATACATTGTGCTCTCCCGGCTTCATCATCTTCAATGGAGTCAATGCAAATCTTTTAAGTTCTTCTGAAATTATTTGAAAACCTTAGTTTGGAGAAGAATTGTTTTTAAGTGTAAAGACTATTGATCACACAATTTTGCTTTTGATATTTTAAACATATGATTTATAAAGTTTTCTACACACATTAGTGAAAATTTTTTCAGCTAAATTATATTTTATTTTTCCTATTCTTATTTCAGGATGAGATCTCTTAGGATGACAGGGTAGAAAGATTCTTTCACAAAGATTCTCCTTAGTTTTAATGCTTTTCTTAAACTGTCTCTAGCAATGCTGATTATTGTTTGGTGGTTGTTGCTTTTGTTGCAGGCTATTTTATCCGCATGAATCTTCATCCATAGAAATGTCTTACCACTTTATCTTCAGTCATTGTCTATCTGTATGGTGATTACTCCCTAAAAAGCATCTTTAGCTGATATCTTTCTCCCCATCTCAAGACATATATAAACAATTGCTATCAGTTACCTGTATTTTAATAGCTCAAGGCCATCTCACATTTAATATATGTAAAACTCAATTTATTTTTCCCCACAAACCTCTCCTCCCATGTTTTCTATTTTAGAGAAAGGTGCCAATAGTTCCAACATAGCTGAAGCAGAAAGGTGAGTGATGTAAATGTTTAACACACTTTCTCTCCAACTAACATTTGTAAAAAGACCAAGTCCTATTAAGACAATCCTGTCACTAGTCTCCGAAAACTGTTTCTTCCATTCTCGCTGTTACTACTTTAGTACAGAAAATCATATGCTCTTGTGGAGTTTTATAAAACAGTTTGCTGTTTGACCAATTTTTGTCTGATCCTCACCACACCATTCTCCAAAATATAGCCAATAATATTTTCTTAAATGCAAATTTGATGACATCATTATTTTTCAAAAAAGTTTCCTATACCCTCTCTTCTGTCAGGAAGACTCTCTTCCACTGTTTACATTATCCAATCCTTCCTTGTTCTCTAGTTCACAGCATAGACATCTGTTCTTTGAAGACTCACTTACACCAAGCATGCCTGGTTTAGTTTCCCCAATCACATCAATTATTTGTATGTTTATTCCCTAATAATTAGTATACTTCTCCACCAGGCTATAAACAGTGAGAAAAGGAATTGTTTTTTAAACTTTATGTGCAAGACTGAGCACAGCGATGGACACAGCAAGTACTCGATATTTGCTAAGTTGAATTACTTTTTATAGCAGTCATAGTTGATGAATATATGATTTGAGTTCTATTTTGAAAAAGGCAACATAGAAGTTGCTATAGAAATGTTAGATATATAGTGAAGTGTTAAATTGCTGCCTTCAAGTAGTTTATGGTCTAATATTGACCATACACGGTATAAATTTATCAAGGATAATGAACAATAAGCCATCTACTTACTGCCAAATAAAAAATACTGAAAATCATTTAAAAAAAATTAAGCACAAACCATAGTACTAGTGCCTCTCTAAAAATGCCTCTCTTTTCAAACCCCAATTTAGTTCTTTTTTTTTTTTTTGGTCTGTAAATAGTATATTTTCATAATAAATGAGAATCAAACTTATCCAATTTGAAAATCAAGCATTTTGCAAATTAACATATCTATTTACATTCAGTTGCATAAATCAGGAGTTCCCAAACCCCAGACCATGGACTGCTACTGCCCTTGGCCTGGTTAGGAACCAGGCAACACAGCAGGAAGTGAGCAGAGGGCAAGGGAGCAAAGCTTCATTTTTATTTACAGCCGCTCCCCATTGCTCACATTACCACCTGAGCTCTGCATCCTGTCAGATCAGCAGTGGCATTAGACTCTCATAGGAGTGTGGACCCTATTATGAACTGCTTATGTGAGAAATCTAGATTGTGTGCTCCTCATGATAATCTAATGCCTGATGATCTGCCATTATCTCCCATCACTCCCACATGGGACCATCTATTTGCAGAAAAACAAATTCAGGGCTCCCACTGATGCTACATTATGGTGAGTTGTATAATTATTTCCCTATATATTACAATGTAATATTAATAGAAATAAAGTGCACAATAAATTTAATGTGCTTGAATCATCCCCCAAACCACCTCTGCCTTCCCCTGGTTTGTGGAAAAAATGTCGTTCATGAAACTGGTCCCTGGTGACAAAAAGGTTGGGAACCTTTGGCATAAGTGTATGTTAAATTTCCCTCATGTGCTCTGTACTGTGCCAAATATTGGAGAAATAGGCACTAACCGTGCAGTTTGCAATGTGGTTAGGAAAACAAGAGAGGCAAATACATAATTTGAAACAAAATGGTGATTTTAATGATAACTATAAGCAGAGGGTAAGAGCAGGAATCAGGACTAGCTTCAATATTCATTTGTCTCTGATATTTTGGGAAAAGGGGTGGTATTATAATGATTTAGGGCAACTGAATGAAAAGTGTAAACATTATCATTATAATAGTGCCAATTAAATTTAATAAGTAGGTCTTGATATCCTTAAGCGTAAAAAATCTTTTCATCACTAAAATGTATCTCCATTAGTTGATAACAACATATATACATCAAAGTACTAGTAACAACGGAGAAGTTATTGTTTTAAAATTATTTGTGAGTAACTATATTTCATAAATATTTATGGTATTAATCCTTCACCAAAGTCTTACACTATATCTAGATTGTATATATTTTTTCTTTTTCAAACTTATTAGAATATTAGTTAAGATTTACCAGAAGTTAAATAAAAAATGAAGGAACGATAATAATTTTTGGTGATTTAAAGCTCTTTTTAAATTATGCAGAGATGGTTAAGTCTTTAGTTTAACCAATTATTAGCAAAGAAAATTTTTGTTATGAAATTGGTGTGATTATAGCAAGACAGATAAATTTCCTAATATTCTAAAATAATTTTTTTTTTTTTTAGACGGAGTCTGGCTCTGTCGCCCAGGCTGGAGTGCAGCGGCGCAATCTCAGCTCACTGCAAGCTCTGCCTCTGGGGTTCATGCCATTCTCCTGCCTCAGCCTCCTGAGTAGCTGGGACTACAGGCACTCGCCACCATGCCCGCCTAATTTTTTTGTATTTTTAGTAGAAACGGAGTTTCACCGTGTTAGCCAGGATGGTCTCAATCTCTTGACCACGTGATCCACCTGGCTTGGCCTCCCAAAGTGCTGGGATTACAGGCATGAGCCACCGCGCCCAACCATAAAATAATTTTTATAAGCACAAATACATGCAGTCAATAAAGGGGCATATTTTCTTCCCTGCAGTTTCAGTGCTTTGAACTTACAGAAATTAGTTTAAGTTAGTCTTCAGTCAAAAGTGAAGTTACTTTTTTATGTAAAACAAGTTGGTATGTGTGTTAAGTATCTTCCTTTCCTTTTTGTTTAGGCATAATTAAGATCAAAACGGTATTTGACAGCTAATATCAATATTAAAAACAATAATGAGTAATGTCATTCTACCAAAAAAAGCACAGTTTACAGTGCTTTGCATATGCACTGGTAAAGAAAGCATTTTACTCCTTAACAACCTTGAAAACAGATGTGAATAAGCAAAATTTCCTCAGAAAGCAAAACCAGTCTTTGGGAACATCACAGATGTTACTAAGCAGTAGTGCTGCACATCTGAAATGCTGGTGAATGAGCTGGAGGTCATCCTGCTACCAGCACGCCAGTGGAGAAGATGATGGCACACTGATATAAATTTCCCTGCCCAAACTAATTACTGCTCAACACTTTTCTTTGACTCAGAGACCATTTTTTTTTCTTACAAAGACTAAAAACTGAGATCAAGTGCATTGCTTTAATAATATTAAATTCCAAAGAGTGATTCAGAAGGGACTATTGAAAGGTTTAGTTACTCACATAAGAATTATCCTGCAGCAAGTTAATAAAGTAATATAATAAGAGGATGTTTCCATTAAGGGACCCCAGGATTAATTAAGATGGCTTTTTATACTTTATATAAAATGTATGTGAATATCTGTCATTCTATCTCCACAATATTTTCATATTGACAATTTTTGGAAGTAATTATTCATTAAACCATAAGTCTACTTACATTTTGGCTATTTATACAACTTTCTGTATTTTATAAAATGGTTTCCATGTGATACAACTTAGCATATTAATTGTCCTTACTGTCTTCCCCAGGCCTCATCATTTTAAGGATTTATAATTCCAACAGAAATTCCATTAACGACTTAACTCCCCACCAGCATTATGAGAAGTTATCGAAGTTTTTTTTTAGTTTTCTTTCTCTCTCTAGTATTTAATAATCATTCATACTCACAAAAAGGTCTGAGAAGTTCTTTTCACTGCTATTCTCACTTTGCTACGGGTCATCACTTCATAATCTCCTTGAGTGAGGGCTGTACCATCTCTATCACCACCTTAACCCAGACTATGAGCTTCTCTGGATGGCTGGTGAACTCTGGCTATTCCACTGCCCTCAGCACTGCCACTCCTGTCCTGATGGCCCCTGGAGACTCATACTGTGGTAATGGTGAGCACATCAACTGCTTTCATCTGAACAGCTGGTGCAGGCTCTGACGAAGCCATGATGTGTGTTACTTGCACCAGAGCCACTCACCTCTGCACTGCCAGTGGTTCCCTTATAGAGTCCAATGCACACTCTTCCAATGTATTTTTGTCTATCAAAGGTCACTTGGCTCTCTGCTCTTCTACGTAGCTTTAACATATTGCACTATAGCTATTTCTCAAGTTGTAGATGTCATTAGACTACAAATTACCACTGGGCATACTAATTATCACTTCACCTCCACTGCTAACCACCAGGTCTGTAATGTACTAAGCAGTCAATAAATATTTGAGGAATTGAACTTAATTTTTTTTGTCTGTTGTGACTCACTCTTCTTCTGAAGATGGACAAATAATTTCCCAGCCTTTATTGGACACTCTTTTATACAGATTTTTTTTTTTGGTGTAGAATTTGAGTCTCTCTCTCTCTCTCTCTACATACACACATATGTCTGTCTCTCTATATATACACACACATATGTACGTATGTATACATGTGTAAATTTATTATTACATATGCATGTGTGTGGATTTTGATATAGATGTATATAAACATGTGTATTTATTCCATTAGGTTTGCTTTGTATTCTCAGTAGTGATGACTACATGGAACAGTAAAACTTGTTTGCTTTTTAAATGAGATCTAAACATTTTTGAGTAACTAATAAAAGTTTGGTGCCCTTGAAACTCAAATCATCTGACTTCACTGTTAAGGCACAGAAGGAGGAAATATAGAAGAGAAAAATGCACAATGCAGCAATAAAAATTAATTGTGTATTATTTTACAATTACTTTCCAATATTTGATGATGATATGACCATATTATCCCCTAAAACTCAGTTTCTCGGCATTTTCATAAATACGTGTTTGTGATTTTTCTCTAAAACATATTATAAATTTCACAACACTTTGGCACATTGAGTTAAAAACAAGTTGACTATTATAAATAGTAACCTTTCTATAGGTGCTTTAACACCACATGGAGTCAAACAGCAACTACCAAGTCTTGTACATACTGTTTTTGTATTGCAATAAAGGGTTTAAGTTAGTTTTATGGGAAGGCATAAATATTGCATGCATAAACATTATAGTCCCTTTTGAAGGGATTTATATATATACACACACACATATATATATACACACACACACAATACTGAGGCAAAAATATATAAGTTGAAACTGAAGCATCTTGATGCAACTTTGTTTTCTTGTGATACCAGAAAGCAAGGAAGTACTTAAAGTACCTGAAAAATAATGAAACACACACACACACACACACACCCCTCCACAATAATGAGTGTATGTCAAAGGAACATAGACATCAACTGATAGAGCTTCTGATAGTCAATCCTAGAACAATATGAGCAAGAAAATATAATAAAGTAATACTAGAATATAACACATAAAAAAAATAACCATGAATTCATACCAATATGAATAAATGCTTGGATATATAAAGAAATAAGGAAAAATAAAGAATTCTCTCTTGCAGAGCAATTCCAAATAATTTAAGCAAATATGCTACCACCAAATGGAGTATAACTCTTACTCTTTAAGTGTGGGCTATGCATAGATACAGTTCTTCCTTCCAAAGAATACAGCATGGAAAGGGGATAAAAGGATAAATTTTATATTGGAGAAACCTGAAAAACATTTAAGCCAGATGACCAAGGTCAACACCAACTGTAAGTAGTGTTCATAGCATAATATAATGTAATGAAAATGGCAGTTTAATTCTGTGCTCTTCCCCTACCTCTAAACTCTCACCTGTAGACTTGGAAGAGCTTTGGCTCATTCTTTGACACAAAAACAGCTCATCCGTTATGATACTACTTATTTCCTATCGCTTTAGTTTTTGCAAATGTTTCCAAATATGTCCTAATTGCAGCCAGATATTCAGATAATATTTTCTTAAACTCTGCTTAAATTGTATTGGATATTATTAAATTAAAGTTAATTATTTCCACATATTTCAATTCCAAACTGAATGACCATGCATATTCAAATAATAGTTTTAAGTGACTCTCGTTTTTTCTATTTGATCTTGCTGATTTTCATGCATCTGTCCTTCATGGGCATCCAGTCTATGTACACAAAAAAAGGAAATATTTAGATGATATAGGTTCTTCTTGAAAAAACAACTCGAGCATTTTGTGTGAACTTTTATCATAGTGTTTCCCGTAATAGTCTTTAGATTCTTCAAAATTATAGCTTACAGCAGAACTTATAGGCATAAACATAAGAGAAAATAACTTACATTCAATATTTTCCCAAGGCTTAAATTTTCATCATTATTTATTGAGCTAACAGAAATGAATTTAGCTTTCTACAAGCATGGCCCCCAAACATTCAAGCTTATGTGAACGGGAGAGGAATTTGAAATTTATATTTAATAATATAAAATGTTTCCATTACATAACTTCCATGTGTCTTATAAGTCCAATGTTTATTGAATGTTTTCTAGGCAGTATTTTACTTGTTTTGTTTTACTCTATTTATGTGATTTAATGTTTTCTTTTGTGAAAGTAAATTATTTCTACACATATGAGTCTCAGAGGTCCATTTTCATTTTATATTGCATGAGTCTTGTATGAATCTGACCAGAGCCCAAAGCTCCTTCCACTGTCAGAAGTCACTCTGCGTCTGGCTGCTCTCAGTAGAGTGTTGAACACAATTGGCAAAGGTTGAAACATGGACATTTCCTTTCATTATATTTAAATGAAAACCCTGTGTACTATAGTCTTGCATCACTTAACAAGGGGGGATATGTTCTTAGAAATATGTCATTAGGCAATTTTGTTGCTATGCAAACAGCATAGACTGCACTTACACAAACCTATATGGTCTAGCCTTCTATATACCTTGGCTGTGTGGTATAGCCTATTGCTCCTAGGCTACAAGCCTGAACAGCAGATTACTGTGTTGAATACTGCAGGCAATTTTAATGCAGTGGTATTCATTAATATAAATATATCTAAGAATAGAAAAGGTACTGTAAAAATATGGTGTTATAACCATTTGGGACCATCTTCATATATGTGGTCCATTATTAACTGAAACGTTATGTGACACATGACTATACTTGGAAGTTGTCACAGTAAAATCTTCAGAGGAATGATTTTCTATTCCACTTTTATATACTTGAGATCTGGAGCAATATCTTAGAGAATATTAATGCAAAGAAACTCTATTGATCTTCTCCACTATAAACAAACAGCAAATTGTCATAAACATACATCTTTAGTTCTAATGTCACTTTTGTAAAATATGGAACTAAATAATTTCTACTAAATGAACAATGACCACATTGGATACAGCTTCAACTTCAGGCACAGTGGACGAGAAATGATTATGCTGCAAACATGGGTTGTGCTTTGCTCGCCATTCCTCTCTTACTCATTATTCCACTTCAGGTGCACTGATATAGATTGTATCAGGATCTGAGGAATGGATGTATGCAGAATACTCCACTTCCCGTAATTTCAAACTTGCAAATTCTCTGGGAGGGTACATCAATAATGTACTTTTGGAATTTACCTTTATTTATAAGAAAATTTAATTGTAAAATTTGTAATTTGTTTTCTTTAATTTTTGATTTTGGTTTATGGATTATTTTGAGGATCTGATTTAGGCTAAGAAAGAGCCACACATCTTTTTAAAAATAAGTTTGCTGTGTTAGGATATATGCAAATTTCCCAGTGTGCAAACATACAGATGCAGAATTACTGAAACTTAAGTTTTCAACTTTCTTCATGGAATTTTATTATTCATAAAAAAGATAAATAGGTAGATAGAAAAATAGATACTTAATTGTTAAATGGATAGGTGTCTGAATTTGTCAATTTTATTCTTAATAGTATTTTATGCCATTCCAACTTGGCCTCATTAGTCAATTACTGAGAACTAAGATTAAAGGTATAAATGCCAAGAAATTTATTCTATATTATAGGCAATATATATGGCTATAAGTTTTTTTAGCCAATTGCTAAGGCAAAGAATAAGCACCCTTAATTAGAAAATCAACTTAATGATATGGTAAGTAAAATCAAGTGAACTATTTCTTGTTCACTATATTAGTTCGTTCTCACAATGCTATAAAGAACTACTTGAGACTGGGTGATACATAAAGAAAAGCGGTATAATTGACTCACATTTCTGCAAGCTATACAGGAAACACAGCTGGGGAGGCCTCAGGAAACTTACAATCATAGTAGAAAGCTGAGGCGGAATGAAACATGTCTTCATATGGCAATAGGGCAATAGGAGAGAGAGAGCAAATGAGGAAGTGCTACACACTTTCAAACAACCAGTTCTGGTGAGACCTCACTCACTATCACAAGAACAGCAAGGGGGAAATCCACCCCCATGATCCAGTCACCTCCCACCAGGTCCCTGGATTATAATTCAACATGATATTTGGGTGGAGACACAGAGCCCAACTATATATAGTTCACCATTTTGAAATCCCAAATCTCTCAAAATAAATAAAAATGTTGTGAAGTGTATGACAAAGTCTTGGCTGCACAATTTGAATTGAATTAATCAGAACCTCAGTATAACCACTCCTTTTCCCACTATTCCTTCTGAGAGTATGTGTATATATACATATATGTATAATATATATGCATATATATAAAGAAATATATATATCATGCAAAAATTTACCGTTATCTAATATATATATTTCATACAAGAACTTACCTTTCTGAAATCTGAAAAATAAAAAAAAAAGTTTCCAATGTAAATCTGGCACTTTAACAAAGATCATTAGATCAAACAAAGAAAAACACATTGAAATATATATTCTATAATTTTTTAATTTTTTTTAGCTATTTTGCTTTTCATCATCATCTTCTTTTCCACTACAGTGAAGGACCAATCCAGTTCCAGCTGAAGGCTAGGATTTCAGTGTATTCTTGAGAATTTACAATTTACTAAATGAAGGCAATTTGGAGGCAATCTAAATGAATTCAGATTTGGAGTCAAAATTCTGAATGTTTTAACCAGGTTCCTTAATTTTTTTAACTTAGAAAACTCATTTGAAGATAAAAATGGATATATTACATACAACACAAGTTATTGGGAGAATTAGAGTAAGCCAGATTTTCTAAAGTATGTAAAATGCTTAATATATTTTACTTGTATTTAATTCTATAACTACCGAGAGATAGTAACACCAGTGAAAATATACAATAATAAAAAAGTTGTTTATATTAATAATTAATATGAAACAGGATCAAATTATTTTATTCTCCATTTAAGTGATAACAATAGGAACAATGGTCACCATAATAAATAGTAATAATTACAGTAAACACTCATTAATACTCTTTACCTGATGTTTTTATAAGCTTTTTAAATATATTAACTAGTTTTACTTTTCAAAAAAATTTTACTGATCAAATGCCATTATAGTTTACTGTTTTTCTTATACAGAAGAGGAACTGAGGCATGCATGTAAGTAATTTTCTGAAATTCACACAGCTAGTAAATGACACAGTATATGTTCTTTACTGTTGGGCTCTATTGTTGCTTCTGGAGGTCAATATAGTATCTAGGAATATTTTATGAGAATAGTAACACAGTATTTTAGGAAACAATTTCCTTTACTAGAAAACTAACTCCCCACCAAAATACTATTTTGTAGTCAACATTTGTATCTTGCCAGATTGCTTGTTGGTTGATAAACAGTTTTGTCACTGGATGCAAAATTGATTTGCTCTGTCCGGCAGATAAGAATCTCATGCTTTATGTCTGATTAATAGGGTTTTACATATCATTGTCTAAGCTTCAAGTATTGCAAAGCCAGAGTTTTTTGAAAATGCTAATGGTGTTTTTGATTAAAATTCAATGTCTATCTTCAAATTTTTCGTTGAAACTAGGGCAATTTTTTTTCATTTTTCTATGTCTCATGAAACCATAACAATTAGTGATAGAGTTGTGGTTTGATATTTGGGGCATTTCTTTCAGGAAAAAGAAGTTTTACATGATTTAAAGGATGCAGCTTACATAAAATTGCCTTATAATCACTGTGCTTCTGCATAATATGTGCTGAAAAACAATGCAGCCCAACTTGCCTAATTACCTTTAAGACATTGAAATATGTACTGTGATCACCAGACAGTGCTGTCTGCATTTCCCAGAGCATCCAAACAATTACAGGTGGAATTTGATCTTGCAAAATACTTCTGAGTTAGGTAGAGCACCAAATTATTGTTCTCTTGTGGTAATCCCCTACCTCTAGAGGAATTCTCCATTCCATTCCTTTTAATGCTTGGTTGCACTGCCTATTTTGCTTTGTTTTTGTATTCCCAGATGCTTCTGAGTTCTTGGCTGTGACAGCTGGGTTATGAGTGGTATTTGAGTTTAATTAAGTCACTGATGAATTTTAAATAGAGGTACAAGATGAAGACAGCAAGATATGAGGAAAAAAACACTTACTGAGATTAGTCTGGGGGAAACTGAGGATGATGTCCAAGTCAAAGAAAATATATAAAATTACATATTATATATATATATCTTTTTAATATTACTCTAGATCAGGAATTTAAAACCCAGGTCCCATTAGTATAAAGCATGGACCATTTAAGAATGACGTAGGCTTAATGTTGAATAAGTGGAAGATGTGGGGCTGTAGCCAGTTTGTGAAACCTGGTCTAGATGTTGGAAAATAAGTTGTGGAGAAACTAGAAAGAAAGACTATTTCAGAAGTTTAGGCAAAAGATGATGCCGGCATGATAAGTTGGTTATGAAGGGAAGTGAGAGCAATGTAGATATGTTTTCTAGGTAGAAAACAATAGAACTGGTTGAGGGATTAGAGGAAGGGCGAGACGAGAAGTAAGTGAGTGTGACAGACTTTTAGCTTGAACAACTGGGTGGCTAATAGTGGCATTTACCAAGATAGAAAAATAATATTGAAAAAAATAAGTTTTGGAAGCCATGTCAAATGTACTATCTGGACATGTTACATTTAAGATAATGATCAGTTAGATACTTAAACATAAAAACCTATAAATCAGAGAACGATTCAAGGCTAGGAATACTTTTAGTAGTCAGACCAGATACGGTGTTTCAGCCGTGGAACCAGATGAAGTCTTCTGGGAAAGACTGAAGATACGAAAGACAGATCCCGAGACTGAAGAACCAGGCACTAAAACATAATGGAGCCATGGTGTATTCAGCAGTTTAGAAATAAGCATTTATGGGGACCAGAGAAAACACACACAAATGCAAACTTATTAAACAGGTAAAACATGATGTCAGTAGGAAAGAGATGTAAATTTTCATGAAAGCTCCTGAGTGTTAGGGCAGAATAAAAACAGAGGTAGTCGATTTGGGAAAACAATATTCTTTTTCAACGTAGAAAATACTGGTTTTAGTGGAATGGAGGAAACATGAATCAGACTGATATTTGCTGAAAGGTGAATATAATGTGGCAATGTCAATAGTGCAGTTATCTTTTTTAGAGACTGGATTGAAAGAAAGCAGTGGAATGGAGAAACAGCTTAGAAGGGCTTCGGTAGACAAGGGGCAGTGATTTTTGTTTGTTTTATTTATAGACTAGAAATTTATAATTATAAGAATAATCAAGGATATGGTGAGGTTTTTTATATCTACACACAAAAATGACTGATAGCCACATGTTAAAAGGGAATAGAGAAGGAGCACATGTAAAAGATTTGGCTTTTTAGAGTACCATAGTGATTTCTGCTTTTCTAACAGGATGAAAGAGAGAAAATGCATGAACAAATTCTAGTGTATTTATGAATTTGATTATGTGAGCTTCTATTTAAATTGCTTCTATTATATCATCGAGGTACAAAGACAAGTTGATATTGTGAGGAAAAGATAAGCACATTGTAAGATTTAGAAGAGGAAATTTTGTTATCCTTAAAATATACAGGAATAGGAGCTACTCTGGAACTCTTGTAGGAAAGTTATGTATTATTTTCAGTTTTACAGTCATGTCTTATTTATTTATTTATTTATTTATTTATTTATTTATTTATTTTTTATTTTTTGACGAAGTCTCGCTCTGTCATCCAGGCTGGAGTGCAATGGCACCATCTCGGCTTATTGCAACCTCCACCTCTCCGGTTCAAGCAATTCTCCTGCCTCAGCCTTCTGAGTAGCTGGGATTACAGGCGCATGCCACCATGCCTGGCTAATTTTTGTATTTTTAGTAAAGAGGGGGTTTTGCCACGTTTGCCAGGCTGGTCTCTGACTCCTGACCTCAGGTATCTGCCCGCCTTGGCCTCCCAAAGTGCTAGGATTGCAGGCGTGAGCCACTGCACCTGGCTGCAGTCATGACTTTTAAGTGTGATCAGCTAACAAAGTTGAAAATTTTTTTACAGAAATTTATAAGCGGCGCTATGCACAACAAGAATAGATGGATTCTTGGAAATTGCTTGTTTGGTGCTAGACGAGGACAACTGAGAGAGAGAGACAAAAGGTTAAAGTTTTAATTATAGGTTTAGGATTTCAGGAAAGTTAGTTATGTTGCCTGTTAACTTAGTTTTCTCATTTATCAAACAGTTGATCATAACAATTTCAAGCAACTTTAACGTTATGATTTGTCTACCTGTTTTATTCTAACAAGCTCAATTTTAGTTATTGTCTAGGATTGGGAAATCTTACCTAAACTGTTAGATTTTTTTAGCCTGTTTGATGTTCTATTTGCACTGAAAAATTGTAATGAAAATGTGGGCTTGAATTATGCAAAAGAGAGTTAAAATACGAAATTTGAGAGTGGGCTAAAAAATCGACTTTACTAAAATATTACAATGAAATCATCTGTTAAATAAAACAAGCCTGAGAAGAAACAAAGATAATAATGGTAATAGATATATAGACTTGAAGTAGGATTTCTGATGCTAACCATACGGCTTCCTCGATTGCAAATATTGATGCTTCTAAATAAGGCAATGACTTTTTAAAAATTTTAACAAGCAAATATGCTTATTGATAGACACAATGGATGATTCCTTAAAACAATTCATGTAATATATGCAACTAAAATGATTTATTGATGCTATCTTTCTAATTTCATTTTGAAGAGAATAGTTGGAGTACTAACAGAAAAAACCCCAGAGTTTCCAATGAAGCATTTTAAAATTTAAAATGTAAAATGTCTGTGATAGCATTTAAATTATAAAGGCCATGAGTATTAGTCAGAGTTCTCCAGAGGAAAAGAACTAATAGGAGATATACATATATATATATATATACACGTGTATATATGTATATGGGAATTTATTAGCTAGTATTAAATCACAAGATCATAGGTCCCACAGTAGGCCATCTGCAAGCTGAGGAGCAAAGAAGCCAGTCCAAGTCCCAAAGCGGAAGAACTTGGAGTCCGATGTTTGAGGGCAGGAAGCATCCAGTATGGGAGAAAGATGTAGGCTGGGAGGCTAAGCCAGTCTTGCTTTTTTTACATTTTTCTGCCTGCTTTATATTCGCTGGAAGCTGATTAGATGGTCCCCACCCAGATTAAGGATAGGTCTGCCTTCCTCAGGCCACTGACTCAAATGTTAAACTCCTTTGGCAACACCCTCACAGACACACCCATGATCAATACTTAGCAATCCGATACTTCAATCAAGTTGACACTCAGTATTAACCATCACACCATGCCTTTCTTCCTGTCCTGCTTTTGGTTTTGAAATTTCTGCCTTAATGAAAATCTTTAATAAGATTAGAATGCCACATTTTATCAGTGGATTGAAGTGCGTATGATTTTTCATGGATCTATTATTCAAATGACAATGATACTATTTGGTTGACTGCATGGTATCACAGTATCTATAGATACTTTTTTCCAAAATATTATGAAAATATATTTAAATATTTTACAGACAGTTAAAAATGCAGAGATAAATACCCTTTGTTGTATCACAAAGTTTATATTTCCAACCATAAACAATTTTTTTTCTATATCTCTATGCCTATTGTGACCTGGGCCCCTTCATCCTCTCTCTTCTATTCAAGTGATTCAGAAATATGCACTACAGGAAACACGGCTGAGAACTACGCTTGGTTCTGTGGAAAGAAAAAAAAATAAGAGTAATTTTTTTTTGCTGAAGAATATCATAAGATAACGTTTGCATTTTATGTTGGTTCCTATGTGTGTACCTGTAAAGCTATGTGCTCTTTGGTGAAGAGGAAAATAGAAAATGAGAGAACACAGAAGGTAAAGTGCAGAAGAGAGTGGAGTACTTACCTCAGAAGGTTTCCATCAAAGAGCAGCAGTGGGAGAGTTTGATTCTAAATATTAGGGTCAGAGAAGTATTTGTATATGATGTAACATTTGAATTGAAATTTGAATCAGGAATAAGATATCATCAACCTGAGCAAGGTGAGAAGGATGAAGTAACAGCATGAGCAATATACATAGATATAAAAATGCACAGCATTTTCAGTAGATGATGAGCACTTTGAATCCAATATTTGAGGACTGAATTGGCTATAATCCTGGAAAAAATATCAGGTTCAAATTATGGAAGTTTTTTAATTGTTTGCTAGGAAATTTGAATTCCATTCTAAGCAATTGAGAATCATGGGGGATTTTTAAAAAGTTAAATGACAAAATCAGATCTGTGTTAGGGAAGGAAATTCTGACAAAAAACATAAGAGAAGGATTAAAGAGAGAAGAAAGGGAGACCTGGAAGCAAATTAAAATAGTGTCACAGTATTGTATAAAATGATCAAGAAATAAGTAAGGTAAGAATGAACTCTTAAGTCAAAAAGGATCAGTATGATTTACTTGAAAGTTTAATTCCAATTTGTGGCAGAAATGGCCATATCAGCATGAATGGAAACACCTGTCACCGATAGTTGTTACCTTCATTGGTACACTTTATTTTAGAATCTAATTTTACATGTTTACAATTTATAGTCAGTTGACTATACATTAAAAATACATTGTTTTATTGAGGATTGCATGTGTATTAAGATAGATAATAATACCTGTAATAACACTTCAAAAATATATACATGTTAATATATTATTTATCATAGATTAAAGTAAAATGTTATGGCTTATTCGTAAGATTTTATACATTAAAAACTGAGCTTAGAAATAGGTATCTTTTGAGTTACATATAGTTTAGTCTGACAGCGGAAATACACGTTTAGCATTTTTTAAATTCTTTGTCTTACAAAGTTAACTTTTGGTTGAAAATACATTCCTGCTTAAATCCGGGATTTAACACATTGCTTGTCTGCAAATCACACTGCCTCTTAATTCAGATAGCATTTCATCTTCACTTCACAGGCTAATGTTCTTTTGTTTTGCATATATGCCCTACAATGCTGATAGCAAAGCCATACACTAAAGTCATCTGTCAGGACCCAGGGGATTTTGATAATATTCAAGCTTCTTCAAGGTATGAGATACATTCAAGCTTCTTCAAGGTGTGAGGTCAACTCCATAAATATTTGGGAAGAATTTAAATTGTCGGAAAGTAGAAACTAACACCTATCAATAAAATTAGTTATGAAAGAGCAGGGAATTAGCCTCAAGAGTCTGTGTTGCCACCTGGGAATTTATTCAATTGGGGTGAGTTTTAACAAAAAAGTAGCATTTGTTAGAATGCATTTTTGTTTATTTTATTTTATTTTATTTTATTTTAAAGACTGAGTTTTGCTCTTGTTGCCCAGGCTGGAGTGCAATGACGCGATCTCGGCTCGCCGCAACCTCTGCCTCCCGGGTTCAGCGATTCTCCTGCCTCAGTCTCCCGAGTAGCTGGGATTACAGGCGCCCGACACCACGCCCAGCTAATTTTTGTATTTTCAGTAGAGATGGTGTTTCACCATGTTGACCAGGCTGATCTCAAACTCCTGACTTCAGGTGATCCACCTGCCTTGGCCTCCCAAAATGCTGGGATTACAAGCGTGAGCCACCGCGCCTGGCCAAAACGCATTTCTGTTGGTGTACTGCAGGTCAGTTCTTTGAGTAGTCTTGGACTAATCCAGTTATTTCTCCTTTCTCACTTTTAGTTATCAAGAATAACTGTAGGATATGCTTGGAATGCAACACCCTGAGATAAGAAAGTAACAGCTGAAATCGTTTCCGCTCTGTTCCTGTCCTCCCCTAGAAACAGGAAGTCCTTTAATGCTTTCTTCCTGTGTGTCATGTTGCCCTGTGAGGTAAAAAATTCAGAGCAAGCTGATTTCTGCGGTCTGTCCCTGGGATGTAAAACTCAGAATGGACTGTTTCCTGGGGACCCTCAATTGTGATGAAAGAGAGATATACACAAGTGAGACTCCAGTCACCTCACGTGGCTTCACGGAAACTTACAGGACCAGCTCACAATAAATCCAAGGCTTCTGTTTCCCTTTTAGCCTATCTCTAAGTAATAGACCTGCTTCATATAACTCGTATGTGTGGGTTTTCTTTTTCACCATACTCAGACAAGTTGGTTACCAGTGCACAGTAAGCCTACTTTACATATGCCTACCAATAAACCAATATTGTTAAGTCAAATAATAAATTGTGTTTGCTTAAAAGAGCTTTTACTTACCATGTTTTAGTGTGAAGGATACAGTATCTATTCTTATTTCTAGTCAAAGTTACTAGATGATGTAAATTATGTCAAATATCTCTACTCAGTATTATAGATATTATTTTTATAAAATGTGTTAGATTCTTATGAGTTTAAAAATAAACTTTAATAAAAGATAAACATTCAGCTGCATTCTCTGAATGTGAGATAAATGTAGATTCTTCTTCATGGAATGTTTATTACCTTGGATAACCAAGCCACGGTTGTTTTTTTTTTTATGATTCCACAAAATCCTAATACTTAGAATTCAATTCCATTTCTGTGATTTGAATGTGTCCTCCAGAAAGCATGGGCTGGAAACTTAATTTCTAATGTAACAGTATTGGGAAATGGGGCCTAACGGGAAGTATTTTGGTCATGAGACCTCTACACTTATGAATGGATTAATAGCAATTATAAAATGCCTTGAGGCTGTGAGTTCACTCTCTCGCTTTCTCTTTCCCTCTTTTGCCCTTCCACTATGGGATGATGCAGCAGGAAGGCCTTCACCAGATGTCAGTCCCTCGATCTTAGACTTCACAGCATCCAAAACTGTGAGCCAATAAATTGTTATTCATTATAAATTACTCAGTCTCTGATATTCTGTTAGTGCAGCACAAAATGAACTAAGACAATATGGTATCTTTAGACATTGCTCTTCTGATAGTGATAAAGTGCTCGTAACAGGGTGAGAAATTGTTAATTTCGTTCACAAATTTGTATGTCTTGCTCTCTAAGGATTATCTCACTTTTTAATTTCAACTTTATTTTCCCCTGCCTGAGGTACATTTTTATATTTTTCAATTCTATCATGAGCCATATTCTATCATGACTTATTCTCAATTTTCTGAATGCTTAAAAATAAAGTGTATGTCCAATATTTCAACTTTTAATTATTTTTATAAATATGTAAATTAAATACAAGTGTTTGCATTAATAAAGATTATTTTGTTTGTACTTTTAATTGGCGTTTTTCTTTGAAATTGGTAAAATGTATCTGTTAAAATTAAAAGACAATATAATATAATTAAAATGTGAAAATTTATTTACATAAAATTAATTTTATTGTATACATTCATCTAAATGTCATCAACAGCATTTTACAGTAAAACTGCTTCCAATTCTAAGTTTCAAAGTCATCTACCTGACAGTATAAAGAATGGTGATGCACTTCATGCATGTTATGTCTAAAGAGCATAGACAATTTCAAGAGTAAGATAAATTGTTTAATATTACAAATGTACATCAGCCTCCGTTTGCCATTGTTGTGAAAACCATTTCTAATTTATGAGTTCCTCTGAAATCACAAATGGGAACATCAAGATAAGCAAGGAAACAGATGTTTGGAACTACTGGGAATCAATACCTAATTATGCAAGAATCTATTGCATTCTTGCTGTCTGAGAAGAAGGATTTGACAAGTTAATTAATTTGTCTTTCCTCCTATCTAAGCACATCCATCACTCAAATCCTACATACACTCTGAATCAATATCTATCTCTAACATTGGCAGGAATGCAATATACAAACTTCATGACAGTCAGAAGCAGTTGCAGTTTGTTATGAGGTCACAGGACTCTTGTCCTATATGGAAGACTGCCTTCTTAGAGACGGAAAGGTGTTACCACTACAGTAGATGTGTAGATTTTATAGATGTTGCTCTGCCAAGTGCTGAGTGCCATAACTATGAAAGAAATTCCTTTATCCTCCTTAATAAGTATATTTTTTCGGTTTGTGCTTATGAATTATGTCCTCAAAAATTCCAGGCCTTTCTTGCTTGAGTATAAAGGCAATACTAATGCAAGTAATGTATAGGTTTAACAAGTTATTTGGATATTATGCTAATTCCTCATGGTAACTGTATGACCTTCAGTAGTCCTAAATTACATAAGAAATAATTGACTTTTAACGTAGAGTAAATCTTCTCAACGAGCTTGTAAAAAAGTAGCTTTATGTTTTCTTGTTAGACGACCAGTGTTTAATCTATCATAGCTGGACTAGTCAGAAATGAAATAAGTAACAGTTAACTGACTAAACAAATTCCATTGCTTTTAAATTCTCCAACTCAACACCCTCAGTAAATTTAATTCTCTGAAGTTCTAACTTCTGCCCTTACACCATCTGGACTCCATGGCCTACACAGCTTATTATCAAAACTGAATCTTGTGAGTGTGTTCATTCCTTTGCCTTTCTCTCATCCAATAGCCTTACTCCTGGTAAAAACCCACCTACTTTCTTCTTCATGTATGCATGCAGTTAAACATTTCTGGGGAAATAAACAATCAGATACCCCAAAAATTGACCAGGCTTACTTTAAATTAACAACCAAAAATGTCAAATCGACAAATATTGCTCAGTGGTACCACATATTTTTTCATGACTTTGCTCCCTCAGTCTCCAAAGCAACTGTTTTGTATTTCCTTAACCATTAAATATCCCCCATTCTTCTACTCAAATGATGATATTGCCTTGTACTTCAATAAAAGAGGAAAAATCACAAGAAACCAATATATCATTTAAATGACAACAATCAAGGTTTGCCCTCCTTCCTGTTACAATGAATCCTTTGCCTCTGCTTTCAAATCTATGTGCCTTATCAGCATCATATTCCCTTTTGCTATGCTAGAAACTTCCTAAATCTAATTATCTCCTCTGAAGAGCATCAAATACTCTCATTGTACTTGATCAATCCCCTCACGTGCCAAGATGCTTTAATGTCTTCTATCATAAAACAAGAGTAAAGAAGTTCTCACTTTTGCTTATATCCCCTTTTAACTACAATTATTTTCTTACAGTGAACCTTTAGAACAAAGCTTAAAGAAAAAAACTATATCTTGCTGTCCCTACTTCTGTCCCTCCCGTTTTCTCCTTAACTAACTTCACTGAATTTCCTGTTTCAAAAAGTGCACCAAGTGCTCTTGTTAATGCCATCAAAGAAGACTGTTTCCTGCTTCATATGGGACCCTTTCTCTGGTTTCTTCCTTGTTAAAACTTTAAAAGCTCTGAGTATTGTTTAGATCTTCTTTACTCCTCAATTTCCTAGATAGTTTAACTTAATTCTATAACTTACGTAATAGCTATATGTACCTATATGTTAATGACCTTTATCACTGCAAATGTGTATACCATCTACTTGATTACTTGACTTACACACTTGAATTTCTTGTAGGTTCACATTTCTTCTTCAAATAGAACACTTAATTCTCATATTCACCCACATACACTCAGGATGCTTTTTTCCTGTCTTTCCTATCTCAAAGAATTATGCTATAATATATACAATTTTAAAGTCAAAATACCTAGGAGTTTTCCTTTACGACTCTATTCCCTTTATCCTCTGTATCCATTTTGTTCCCTCACAATCTACGTCTATTTCATTCATTACCATCCATATCTATTCCATTGATTATATCTGTTTGCATAATGTGTGCTAAATTGTATCAGCCCAGTATTCTCTGCCTCGATCACTACCGTACACCACAATCATTTCTCACTGGACATTGTTAGAATGCAGAATTTTACACCCTGCCCCAGATCTACTTAAATAGAATCAGCATTTTAACAAGAACCTCTTCCCATGTGATTATGAGTATTAAAATTTGAGAAGTCTTGTTTTATAAAATCTGACCCCTATCAACCACTTTGAAATCACGTATTAGACTTCACCTGTGGCCTATGATATCTTTCTGTTTCCCTAAATCTTCAGTTTTTTTGTTTTCTGTTTTGTTTTGTTTTGTTTTGTTTTGTTTTTTCTCCGTAGGACCTTTGCAACAGTTGCATTCATTCCTCAGGAGGCTTTCTCTGATTATCAGTGGCTGGATCTTTTTTGCCATTCAGGTCTCTGGCTAAATCTTAACTCCTAAGAGTGTTGAGACATGATTTTCAATAGGTCCCTCCAGTTGCTGCAAGTCTTATATCAGATATCCAGACTAAGGATGTTTGTGAATTAAACAGCTGTACAAAGTCTTCCTCTAGGGTAAATAATTGGTCAGTTTCACTAGCAACTCCCATCAAAAGATCAAGGTTACCTAAGCTTGAATTTCTTCAGCTGTGCCATAAACCTAGTGTGCGTGCAGCATTCAGCTTGGCCTGCCTACATATTACACTTCTGATATTTGAAGAGGAAGGAGGATTGATGTAAATATGAAGCTTATGTTATCTACCATGCTGTGAGTCATAAAATTTTTTCCTTCTCCATTATCCATGTAACTGGAGCATGAAACAAACGAACTTTGAAAAAGAGGAAAGACAGATAGCGAATACACAGATTCTGTCAAGCACGCAGAGTCCTGGAATCAAGGTGGACAGTAAAGATATCAAATGTCATTTCTCTTTGACAATATTAATGTAATTGTTTGCCTGAGTGTACCTATTGGAACCTAGCATCTAAAAAAAAACCTATAATTTATTAAGATTTTAGCTAAGGAGTTAACTTTTCACTAAGGAAAACAAAAACTCCTTAATTCACTAAGGAGTTACCTTTTCTTTAGGATATTTAGAACATCTCAAAGTGGTTTCCAATAATTAAACTATACGTTTTGATTATTATTTTTTGGTTCTTTCTCCAATATCAAAATTGAAACAGCAGGTAAAGCCCATTCGAGTATGAAACATGCATAAACGCCAATTATTTTTCACTTCATCACTGTTGCATGAGCAGCTTCATGGTTCTGAAAATACTATGATGATTTATTTTATTAACAGCTTCTAGTTGCTTAGAAGATAATTTTATAATGAATTGATTTTCCTCTACAGCCAAACTCTCCACTGAGCTTTGAGGTGTGAAAAGCTCATTATTCCAACATCTTAGTTAATAACATTTCTCAAGTATAAATAGTAACATTAATTAAAAATGTAGTGTTATTCTAATACTACAATATAATTCAAGATTTGTTAACTAATTTTAGTTTTTAACTAGTGTTTCTGGCAAATTTATTCTGTTCATTAGGTCATAAAACAATTGTTGTGATAAGAGAATATAGAATTGTCACTTGAGGAACCAAATGAAACAATAAATGTTTCCTTTAAGAACCTAGGGGTTCTTAGTTATTAGGATAAAGTTAATGTTTCTAGTTAATTTGATGTCAAATTATATATTATTTTATTTTATATACATTGGCCAACATTTAAAATAGTCATTGAAAGAAAAAGTAAAATTTAGTTAAAAGTATAAATCAAGAGAGAAAAATGTGGCTTACTATTATAGCATTATTTAGGTACATAATTTTCAATATTCTTAGTGTGAGTCAACAAGAAGATATATTTGACAAACATGCTAATGAAATCTCAAGATATATTAAAGAATTCAAGCATTTAAAATGAGGAAGGTAACAGTTCTCTTCTGCCCTTTACTGGCCATGCCATACATGATACTTTATTCAATTTTAGATATTTATTTTAAGAGGTACAATGACAATTTGAAGAACAAGGAATGATGAGAATATTCCTAACCATTAAAGACTGGGTAATGGAATTAAGGATATTTATCTTGTACATGAGAAAACTCATGGTTGTCTTTATTCAAGTGAATAATTGTCATGAGGAAGCTGACTTGAGTATTTGCAAGGACAGTCAGAGAAGAAATGTTTGAGGAAATGACATTTTATCAGAGACAAATAGTGTGAGGTAGCAAACCATATAAAGATCTAGGCGATCCAGAGCATTGCAGGATATGGAAACAGCAACTGCAAAGACTTGAGGCTAAGCTGAGAACAGAGAAATAACAAAAGCAAAATTTTATGCATGGAAAATATACTGTTTATATAATATGTGTGTGTCAACAAGTAGATTTTGAATTTATTTGGGCTTTTAGAATGTTTTTGTCAAATAAGCATCCCAGTCAATTACATAGACATGTATACAATGGTTGATTATAAAACTTGCTTCATTTCAAATTAATTAATGCTAATTTCGTAAATGTTGATTTAATAAGAAAAACTGCTTCTTCAGATTCATTTCCAAGGTACATTATTTTTCATAAACGGTAATACTTGGTTTGATTGAAAGTTAAACGTAATGACTAAGAAATGTTTCTCCACATCAATTTAGGAAAAATTATTGTGATCCAAGTTCATATTCACAAATACCAGTAGGTCTTCACAGACCTTAACACAAAATACTGTAAAAGTTTGGGCTGCCAATTCAAAGACAAGTTATCTGTATTGCAGTTTGTCAAATTATGCTTATAAGTTCATCACTAGTTTTTCTTAATTAACTTTCTTGTTATGTCATCCTGTCCTATAACTATCTATTATTTATTTATTTTTTTCTGTCTCAAGTGTTTAGCAGATTACTTTAGGATTATTTCCTTATGTAGATATCCGTCATATTTTTACAACGTAGTTGATTGTTTTCTTGGTTATAAATTTGTGATAAAGAAAATGCTAAAGATGCAATATTAGGTCATTATCATTTGGTAAGAATTGCATTTAAATTGGCTAGATAAGCTAGGGAGAGAAAATTAGAATAAAAGAAATTTAAAATGTTATATTTTTTGAAAACACAATGTCTACCTAAAATTATGTAATATTTTACAAAGTATATTTAATATGGTACCAATTAGTCTTTCACAAATTTGTATATAGAGTATCATTACAAAAATTTTGAAAAATTCAAAACACATCAATAGATACTGCACAACTTGTGAAAGTTGAGTGGAAGAGTAGGAATTGTTATCTCAGATCTTCTCCTAGCTTAGAGTTATTTTTACTTTTAGAGAACTACTTTTCCTGGAAGTGTTTTACAGTCAACTTGAAGAAACTGTCCAATTAATAACAATGAAAAGTCTCACAAATTCGATATAATTATGCTGATATATATGTGCAAATATATTTCTCTCAAATTGTTGTAGCATTAGATCATTTAAACTTTCTCTTACATCCAACACTATGTTCTCTCACAATTTTCTAAATTCTAGATATTTAATAATTTTACTGATATTTTTCCCAGTTCCTTTTACTATTTTATCATTTTACTCTCCAATTAGAGGATCATGGACTTACTTCTTGATAAATGTCAATATACTTTTAATAAAATGCATACATGTATGGGAAATCAAAATTGGCTACTAAAAACTCTCCAATATCTATTTGCCTGACTGACCTATTTTCCACAATTCAGACTTTATTCTGAACAGGACAGGTCATCTGCTAAGGCATATGTAGATATGCAGAGAACCCTGGAAATATTTGTAATAAAAATTTGAGGCATATATATAAAGTCAGATGTATTTGAATAAAAATAAAGTTTATCAGAATTGAAGAACTGATTCTGTTTACTATCGCTATAGAATAAAATTGATGAGTCTTTTTTCTTAAAGATTTTATTTCAAGTTTTTTGTTTGTTTGTTTTGTTTTTGTTTTTGTTTTTTGAGACAGAATCTCTTGTCACCCACGCTGAATTGCAGTGTCATGATTATAGCTCACAGCAGCTTCTACCTCCTGGGTTCAAGCAATCCTCCCACCTCAGCCTCCCAAGTAGTAAAGACTACAAGCATGTGCCACAGCACTTGGCTAATTTTTTAAAATTCTTGTAGAGAAGGGATCTTTCTTTGTTACCCAGGCTGGTCGTGAACTCCTGGACTCAAGTTATCCTCTCTCCACAGCCTCCCAAAGCACTGGGATTACAAGCATGAGTCATCATGCCTAGCCAAGATTTTTTTCAAGGATTTTAAAAATACATTTTCAAAATCTTAAAACAATGAAAACAAAGTAAATGAGACATTAGCAGATGAAGGAGTAAGGGACTCAGTGATGGTGGTCACTGTCACTATGAGGGAGAGACAAAAGGCAGCAATATATAAAATCCTTAAAAACAGAAGAGTTTATTTTTTTTTTACTTCTCTAATCTTAGCACCTGCAAAAATGGTTACTATAGTGTAGCTGTTCAATAAACCTTTATTGAAAAAATAAATGAAAGATTCCACGGAATTGTAGAAGAGTTTTACAAACACAGACAATGTATATGTTGTATATTTCTACCTTCTAGAAAAAAAGGTTCTCAAACTTTTTAGGCTTATTAATATTTTAAAGTTTAAAAAATTGTTGAGGACCTGAATAAATTTGTATTTATGTGGAACATACATAATATTTGTAATGTAAATGATAATATTAAAAATATAAATATTTACCATAATCTTTAGAACAATGAAAAACTAATTACATGTTAACAAAACTAACTTTTTTTTGAAAAATATTTTAAACATAAAAATTAGTGAAAAAAATCAGAATAGTTCTCGATATCTTTAAAGTATGTCTTTCTGGATAATTGTGGATATTTTTCTTGGATACTACTCCTAAACATAAAAAATGATGGTATCATAAAAGCTAATTTTAATGTAGAACCTGAAACCATATTATTGAGGTATTGAGCTTTTTGCAGTGTTTCACATTAAACTCCACTGCACTTATATGCATTTTAAATTAACATTTTACCCATGCATGATTTTGTAACATAATGCATTGGTCATTTGGAAGCTATGGGTTTGGTTCTTTGAATCATAAAAATAAATGCATCCAAATGTTGACATATTGCACAATACAATATAAAGATATTGGCATTCAATAGTTTTCTCATCAGAAAGTATGTTAATTATTGGATGTTGTCAAGCTGAAAATGGCAGATACCCATTTTCATAATTCTAATGTTTGCTGTAAGTTCAAATTTTAAGTTATTTTCCTTACAATGTCAAACTAATTTAGTTCATATTCAAGAAAATGTCCACCAAGTACATAAATCTGCATAACTGCAGGTCATCTCATTCTTTCAAGTAAAAATTGTGGTTCATTTACAAAGATAACTAGTTCAGTTATCACATCAATCACACAAGTGCTTTCACTTAAGGCAAAAATTGTACTTTGTTATGTACCATGAGTACTTTATTAATACTTAAAATTTTTTTCAAACAATATTAGAAATGTATGAACACTATTGCCAATATTTATTAATATTAATCTTCATATCTTCATGGACCATGAAAACTGGCTTCTATTTTTTTTTTTTATTTTCTTACAAGAAGCACTTCCTGGTGAAAAACACAGTGACTACTGGAAGGGTTTGGTACCACCGTTTTTATTCAAGCTAAGCCAATAGTAGTCTCACTCATCATTGAGTTTATCATATTAATGCAAATGTCAACACAAAAACAAAATATCCTAATATTAATATGAAAACAATTTTGCTCTCACAGTCCCCTAAAAACCTTGTGGCATCCCCATGCAAGTCTGCAGATCACACTTTGAAAACAACTACTTTACAAGGCTCTTATATTCAATTTCATTTTCTCCAAAATACAGTCCTATAGAAATAGTTTCTGAATCTATTTTTCCTATATGATGTTGTTAATTCTTCTAAGTGTATATGACTGCCAAACTCTATCACTACATACAAAACAAAACAATATGTGGCATACTTAAATCTGTGAAAGAAATTAAATGATAAATAGCACGTGCTTTCAGCCTCTCGACCAGATTAGACTGGGTTTGATTATTTTCTATATAAGGGAATATGTTATGCCACTTTGGATTTATTTTTTTCCAGCGCATATTTTGTGCAACTGCAGTTATTTTACAGCACTGGCCTTTTGTTATCAGTTACAATGCTGGAATTGACAGGGTAAAAATAAATTTTCTGCAGAGTATCAGTTAATACAAATGCCTGGGAGTATGGAGACCTTGTCCTGAGAAAGCTTTCTTTGAATATTAATATTATTAATATTTTGCCAGTTATGAATTAAAAATAAGTGCAGTCATCATGACCATTAATTATTTTTTGAATTATTATATTAATGTGATTATCTTAGCTTGAGCTACACACCTTCCCCTCAGATAGGAAAAGGCAGATTTTCTTTTGAATTGCATCCAACACAGAAAACATAAGTTTTCAAAGGAAATTGTGGTGCTGTTAAAAGACGACAATATTTGTTTTGGTCTGAATTATTAAATAAGTAACTCATTTCGGTAATTTACAGGCACATTGGATATTGGCTCCAGAGAGGCAGGAAATGTGCTCTCCTAGAAGGGCCTTCTAAAATCTTCACTCTTTGTACTATAAATCACTGGCCAAGTGACAAAGAGAGTGGAAACATGAGTCAATTTACCTTTTTGGAGCATGGATGAAAATATACAGAAATCATAATCTTTATTTTGTGAGATTTTAATTTTTTGTTTCTGTCATTATATCACAACTGAACATTTCTAATATAAATATTTGAATGCAACACAAGAAATGTTCCCTCTTCAATATTCCAATGCATTTAAAACTGAAGCATTCATTTATAGAAGTGAATCACCCCTATGTACTGAAAAACAACAAAATATTTTAGACTCTACTTTTATGAAAAGTATTTGTAGACATAGCCTAGAAATGTGGTACACAAAATAATTTATCTAGAAAAATAGTAAAGGAAATGCAGTATTTGTGAGGGCTTTACAATGTGTCAGCTTATAAACTACATTTCCCGGAATTTCTTTCCAGTTTGTTTCCAGTTGGTATGGGACTTGAGAGAGATACTTGTCTGAGAGTTGTAGGGCAAAAGTGAGACAGCAGCCACTTTCTGTTCCTCATTGGTGTACTTTCTGCACATTGTACTTTCTGCACATTGTTGTTTCTCTGTGGTGAAACAGTGAATGGGCATACCACTGCTCCACGTTCCCTTGGGTCCTCCTTCAGCTTCTTTGACTCCTGAACCAGGTGTATGTGTTTTCCTTTATAATGAAGGCCCCCCTTTCCTTCCATCAACATCAGAGGCAGAAATAACTAAAACAGACTTCTGCCTGTCGTCTTTGACTGCAGTTGATGCTGGTGGGTACAAACTTGTTTGTCCTTCCCCACCTTACATCCGTTTCCCTCTCCTGCCTCTCTCCTGCTACCTGGCCTTCAAGCTCCCTCATCAGAATGTTACAGTAGGTAGTCAGGCAGACATGAGCAGGCAGGAGAGGGCCCCCAAACCAGGAATGTCAGCTGACCATCAAGTGATGTTCAGGTGGTTGTTAAACTGTCTCTATAAAATAATGGTCACAGCTGGCACCAGGGAAAACGTAGTCTCCCAGTAAATAGAAAAACCTGAAACTGGTGATCAGCTTCCCAGTAAGATCTCAGGAGCTGGGAAAGTAGATTCAAACATGCACACTAAGAGGCAAAGTGGCAGAGTTTGCTGATATTAATCTTATGGGAACACCTGATTGGTAAGGGAAGAATGCCTCAAGTGAGCATGGGTACAACTTCAGTAAACACATTGCCCATGTGTCCCCTCCTTGGTGCTGGCAGGCCACCCCACACGCGGGCAGCATACCCCAAGGGAAGAATCAAGGTTTTATATGCCAATGAATAAAACCCCACGTCAGAGATCAAACCACACACATTTGACTCCCTCAAGTTACCCGCTTGGCCCTCTTCCAAGTGTAGTTTACTTCCTTTCATTCCTGCCCTAAAACTATTTAATGTTCAGTCCTGCTCTAAAACTTGCCTCGGTCTCTCCCTCTGCCTTACACCTCTAAGTAAAATTCTTTATTTTGAAGAGGCCAGAATTGAAGTCGCTGCAGACCTGTATGGATTTGCCATACAGTGTGACTAGGATATGTTCCCTAGGGGTAAGACCCCTCTATGCTTTGCCTTCTTCGGCTGGAGGCATTCAACCCCTGTGTGCACATTCCTTCTTCTCTTTCATTCTCCTGCTTGCTAACCAACTCTCACAACAATCCCTCTCAGCCACAGTGGCTCCACTCCCCCAAGCTGATCTCTCAGTTCACACTGACAGGTGGCTTGCTGGGGGTGGAAAGGACCTTGGAGTCCATGACGAGATGACCTGAGATGTTTATGGCCCTCCTGAACAGGAGGCTCAAGAGAGTGGTAGGGCTAAAGCCTAAATCCCTGAAACGTCTAGGGTTTCCTCTGCTTTTTCAGCTAAAATCGGCTCTTTCCCCAAAACCTGCACACCTATCCTCCTGTTTCCTTTGTGTGTATTCTGAAATACCCTTGTGCATCTGCTAGACCATCTGCCTCAGGGGCAAGTCGGTCTCTTCTCTGGTTTCATTTGGCATGCCGTGTCGCTTCCTTCCCTGCCTTAAATACACACACTTCCTATTATTCGTGTACCCACTGCTCTTGCTGCATTTTTTCAGGATCAAAGACACAGGCTCCCTTGCTTGTATCTCCTGACATTTATATTTCTTTCTACCCTACCAGCTGTGATGATGTCCAAAACTTTCTCATCAGCTGGCTCACTGCTGGGACAGACACTAATTGGAACCCCAGCTCTGCCAGCTCCTTATGACTTACCACATGCTTTTCACTTTTCATCTCTGTTAAGTTCCAGGGCCAAGTGTTTTGGTAGCTTTTGAAGCAGTTTGTCCTCCTGCCCTAAGACCTCACTCTGGCCCTTTAAGAACTCCACCTGATATGATTTGGTTGTGTCACCACCCAAATCTTATCTTGAATTGTAGCTCCCATAATGTCCACATGTTGTGGGAGGGACCCAATGGGAGATCATTGAATCATGGGGGCAGTTTCCCCCATACAGTTCTCCTAGTAGTAAATAAGTCTCATGAGATATGATGGTTTAATAAGGAGAAACCCCATTCACTTGGCTTTCATTCTCTATTGTCTGCCACCTTGTAAGATGTGCCTTTTGCCTTCCACCATGATTGTGAGGCTCCCCCAGCCTCATGGAACTGTGAGTCCATTAAACCTTTTTCTTTATAAATTACCCAATCTTGGGTATGTCTTTATCAACAGTGTGAAAATGGACTAATACAGTAAATTGGTATGGTAGACTGGGGCACTGCTGTAAAGATACCCAAAAATGTGGAAGCGACTTTGGAACTGGGCAACAGGCAGAGGCTGGAAGAATTCAGAGGACTCAGAAGAAGATAGAAAAATGTGGGAAAGTTTGGAACTTCCTAGAGACTTGTTGAATGCCTTTGACCGAAATGCTGATAACGATATGGACAATGAAATCTCAGCTGAGGCGATCTCAGATGGAAATGAGGAACTTCTTGGGAACTGGACAAGGTGACTCTATGTTTTAGCAAAGAGACTGGTAGCATTTTGCCCCTGCCATAGAGATTTGTGGAACTTTGAACTTGAAGGAGATGATTTAGGGTATCTAGCGGAAGAAATTTCTAAGTAGCAAAGCAGTCGAGAGGTGACTTGGGTGCTGTTAAAAGCATTCAGTTTTAAAAGGGAAATAGAGCACAACAGTTCAGACAATTTGCAGCCTGATGAAGCAATAGAAAAGAAAAAAACCCATTTTCTGAAGAGAAATTCAATCCAGCTGCAGAAATTTGCATAAATAACGAGGAGTCAAATGTTAATCCTCAAGACAGTGGGGAAAATGTCTCCAGGGCATGTCAGAGACCTTTAATTACATGGGCAGGTCCCAGGGTCCCACTCCTATGTGTATCCTAAGGACTTGGTGCCCTGCATCACAACCTTTCTAGCCATAGCTAAAAAGAGCCAAGGTACAGCTCAGGCCATGGCTTCAGAGGGTGCAAGCCCCAAGTTTTGGTAGCTTCCACTTGGTGTTAAGCCTGTGGGTGCATAGAAGTCAAGAATTGGAAATGCCTGCATGTCCAGGCAGAAGTTTGGGGACAGGACCCTCATGGAGAGCCTCTGTTAGGGTAGTCCAGAAGGAAAATGTGGGGTTGAAGCCCCTACATAGAGTCCCACTGGGGCACTGCCTAGTGGAGCTCTCAGAAGAGGGTCATCATTCTCCAGACCCCAGAATGGTAGATTGACAGACAGCTTGCACTGTGCTCCTGGAAAAGCCGCTGAATTTTGGACTTGCATGGGGCCTTTAGCCCCCTTCATTTTGGCTCATTTCTCCCATTTGGAATAGGTGTATTTATCTAATGCCTGTACCCTCATTGTATCTAGGAAGTAACTTTTGAGTTAATGCTGAAAGGAGTTAAGACTTTGGGGGACTGTTTGGAAGGCATGATTAGTTTTGAAATGTGAGGACATGCGATTTGAGAGGGACCAGGGGCAGAATGATTTGGTTTGGCTGTGTCCTCACCCAAATCTCATCTTAAATTGTATCTCCCATAATTCCCACATGTTGTGGGATGGGTCCAGTGGGAGAAAATTGATTCAGGGGGGTGGTTTCTCCCATACTGTTCTCATGGTAGTGAAAAAGTCTCATGAGATCTGGTGGTTTTATAAGGGGAAACCCCTTTTGCTTGGCTTTCATTCTCTCTTGTCTACCACCATGTATGATGTACCTTTTACCTTCTGCCATGATTGTGAGGCCTCCCCAGCCTCGTGGAACTCTGAGTCCATTAAACCTCTTTTTCTTTATAAATTACCCAGCCCTGGGTATGTTTTCATCATCAGCATGAAAACAGACTAATACACTACTTAATTGCTTTTTTTGAGTTAGCACTCCTATGGGAAAAGGAAAATTCTTCTTTTGCCATTTGTGAGTTCTTACTCCAAGCCCCAAGTCCCCTTTATGTCAAGAGATCAAATAAATGTTGCCATCTGGAATCCAAGGCTGCTGTTTTTTCAAGCATCTGAGGGCTTCCATGAGCATTCTTCTTGCTTCCTCCCACTTCCTGCAGTAGCCCCCATTTCTCTCATCACTTCCACACCCTTTCATTATGCATCAAGACCTTCAAGGTCATATTCAACAGGAGGAAAGTCCAGCCACCTTGTGCCCGTTAGCTGAAAAACAGGCTTCTTGTCTACTTAAAAAACCTGGGAAATTGGAATTTGAGAAAAGAGATAGTCATTTTTTTTGCTAGAATGCTCCAAGTAGGAGTCACTATAAGGTCATGGAGACAAGAATGTAGGCTGGCCCAAGGCGGCAGGTGCAAAAGACCCATAGGATAGAGAGGAAGATTGGTTTCAGGCTAATAGATTACTACAGAATAGAGATGAAGGCAAGACTAGGGTACCCAGTAAGATTGGTTCATTCCAGAGTGCCAAGGGCAAACTGGGGACCCCTCTGTTCACTCTAGTGTCTCCTGTGTTCTCAAGTGGGTAATTGTGACCAGATGAGACCAAGGTTAAAGGTACACAGTAAGACCATTCATTTTGGTACCCTAAGGATAAGGGGAGGATGCCCCATTTAGGATAACAGGAAAATAAGAAGGAAATTCTTCTTTTTCCTTTTCATTTTTTTCATACCCCTCAGATGCATTCCCAAGAACTGGGAAAAGTTTAATCCCCAGGCTTAAAACAAAAACTAGTTTTCCTTTGTAATACTCTTTGACCTAAACATAAACTGGGAGGAAATACAGAAGTCAGCCTTAGAACCCAGTGCATTTATGCAGGAAATCCTCAAATTAGCCTTCTCAGTCCTTTATATCGGAGGGCAAAATAAAGAGAACAGGGCTAAGGAGAATAAAAATGCCACAATAAGAGGTAGGCTCACCTACTGGCTGCTCTGCAAGCTCTCCAGCCCCCTCCAGGTTACCCTAAGGACACTACTTCAGATAACTACAATTGATGTGGGAAGCCAGACTTCTGGAATGCAAACTGCCCCGACAGGACTAACAAGAGGAAGCCACACATGGCTTGCCCTTCTGCCACAAGCTAGGCCATTGGAAAAAAGGCTGCCCTGAGAGCTGAAGGGCCCCTGGGATAGAATCCCAACCCTTGATGGCCTTGAGCTGAAAGGACTCTCTGCTCTTGGTGGCTTCCAAATTAAACATTGTCATCAAAAGTACAAATCCAAGGGCAACTCCAGGGGCAGCAGGTAAAATTATAATTTTACCTTTTGGTTTCAAGAGCTTCCTATTCTGTGCTAATTTCCTTTCCTGAGCAACTCTCCTCCAAATCCTGTTGGGTAATGGGGGCAAATGGCACCCTCTCTCTCCAGAGAAAAGATTCACACCACTTTGGGCCAAAAATATACTTTCTAAATGGGTGCCTTCTTAGTATTTACCCGACCTCTATATTCATCTTTCCCTCTAACAGCCCTATTTCTCCTGGGAAAGCTACCTAAATCTTTAACGAATTACTTCAATCTGGACAGTCCTACCTGAGAGGTTTAGAAATAGCCCACACTTATTTGAACAAGCCCTAGCAAAAATCTAACCAAGGAATCTCTTGAGGGGGGATAACTTCTACAGTGTACAGATAACCTCCTTATCTGCTCCTCATTCACAGGACTCACATGGCAACAAACCCTAACTTTCTAACAGAAGGAAAATGACGTATTTAATCAAAAGCATAGGTAAAGAGGGGTTTTATAAAGAAAAGATATTTTTTATGAAGAAAAGGATCTTGTATGGGGAATTCTTGTCCTAAAGTAAAATGACTGGTTGTTTTAAAAGAAAGTTCAAGCATGTTGTTGATGGTCTGTTTACATTGTAAAAAAAATTTGTGAAAGTAAATTTATGAAAGAAATGTAATACAACTTTAAAGCATATTGGGTCTACTAAATGTCTTAAGGTCATAAAGTGCTACTATGACGCTGAATAGCACAAGTTTTAAAACCATCAAATTCTAAGCAAGACCTGGGGACATACAGAGTTACCCATGCCCTCTAGCTATGCTGGAAAGACTCACATCTTATCTGCACTTCTGTCTAGTGTCCTAGGCTTCACACCTAGCCTGTAATTAGAATCACTTACTTACCAGGTTTTTCACCAAAAGTAACAGTTGCTAAGAGTTAACAGTGTAACATGTACTTGAGACTACTGGAAAAGTAGTTTTAAGTGGAAGATGTGTACGGAAAGTGAAATGTGCTTTTGTAAAAGGTTATAAGAAGGCATGGGAATGTAAATATTTTTGCCTAGTTTAGAGGGTTAAAGGATTATTTTAAGTTAGATAGGATAAAGCTAAAGTTTTAAGCACATTGTGGAAGGTTTGTAAAAAGTTTATCTCATAAAAGAAATTCTGTGTATAATCATGTTGGCTAAAGTCAAAGGGGTATTATTCAGGATTTTGTAAGTTGAACACTGGAGTAATAGTACAACAGAACTTTATTAAAGCATTAATCTGTTCATTATAAATGTGTTATTGGTACATGTTCCAAAATTATGTGAAACCCCTATAATTCCGATATAACTTAGTATACATTATCAGTAATCATTATAATTGTTATGTTAAATTATTTTGTTTCACAGAGGTAACAAATTTCCTTGCCAATTATGTCTAACTGTAGTTGTTGTACTATGTTTTGTCATCCACAGATGCTTGTTGTCCTGTTTTGATCCTCTTCAAAAGGTGGTTTATAATCAACTGTAAGACTTTGACAGTTGCTCTCAACATTCTTCTAAATGTAAGAACCTGATTTGTCTCCTCTCACCTTCAGGCCATCAAGTTCCAGATAATCCTCAGTGACAGATACCATCCTCTCAACATTCAAGAGTCACCCTTTGACAATAGGCCCCTAGACTTTTGTCTTTTGCAGTTACAAAGCTGAATCCAGTTTAATGGTAGCAATTACATTATTCTATATTAGAGATAAGAATAAGAATTGGAATAAGAATTTGTATTATGAATGCAAATGCAAGCAATCATTCTGTATATATATATACATAAGTATCACAATTAAAAAAACCATAAATTCTGGAAGAGAGATATGAACTACATGCTAGAGATACAAAAAGTAGCCAGAAGTCCTAGACAAAGGATTTGAGAAGATTCCCAGGAAAGAAATATTATTTAAATTAGGAATTGATGGTTGAGTACTAATTTTAAAATAATACTTTTTTTACCATAATTAGGTCTATATGGTAGATTGAGTGATGTAGAAAAAGATTCATCAGACTCTCAAATTTAGGAATACTAAGTAAAGTAACACCAACCAAAATTATTACACAGCTGAGCTTAAAATCAAGTAGTTGCAGAAGGATACAAAAAATATTATACCACATATTTGTAAAAAGGCTAAAAATAAGGATATATATGTTTAGTAAACTTACAGAGACACACTCAGAAATCATTAGCATAAAATTCAGGTCAGTGGTTAAATATAGGTTGCCTGTGTATGTCAGGGTAAGATCATTGGTGAGTAGATAAAACAGTTCAAATATATATGAAATATCTTATTTTAAAAATAATCTGATATAGGTATTTTTAATTCATTGAGCTTACCATCTTTCCAGTGCCCATTTATTTCTGTCATGTTCTCACTTTCCTCCATATTAATCCACAATTACAATCTCTGCTTGCTCACTTACCTATTTCCCCTGCCTCTCTCTCCCACAATAATCTGTTGCTTTTCAAAATCTCAAGTCTGTTAATGTGTAACTCTCTTTCAGTATCTGCAAGAAAACATCTGAATGCCATTGCACGCACTCAATCACACGACATGGTCTCATTCTAAATACATTATCTCAACCTCAGTGGACCCTAAGTGGTTCCAACAATTCTTAATATGCTTTACTGCTCAAGTTATTTTACTACCCTTCAAATGAAGATATACTACCCCTTCTTTTCCTCCCATTCTCAACTGACATTTACATTTATTATAAGAAAATGAAGAAAATGTGAAAACTAGTCTCATATTCCTTGACCAAAAAGTCTGCCTTTCTACCTAACTCTATTAGAGTGAATATTTCTTGGATCTGTCTGTCTATAATAAGTTTTTCCATTTGCTCACCAGAATTATAAACTCTCCCGATTTAGTCCATTTCTTATATAATCACCCTTTCTTTCTTCTACATTGCGTACTTTCCTTTGTTTCCTGGGCTCTTCCAATTAGAATGTAAATATGATAAAATACATTCCATCTTAAAACAACAACAACAACAAAATTGTCTTGACACAAGAGGCATCTCCAAGTACTGGTTTATTTATTACCTCACATTATAAATATCTCACTAGTGTTGTCTATATTTGGTATCTCCACTTCCTTTTCTCCTGTGATCTCTGGAATCGACATTTCAAAAGAGCTCTTCCATCCATCTCTCGAATGAGAATTTCCACTGCCAAGGTCAGCAATGACCTTCCACTGCCAAATTCAAATGTCAGTTCTTGTTCCCAATTTAAGTTGACCTTTAAGCAATGTTTGTTCCAGCCAACCACTCCCTGTTTTCTGTGCTTACTTTCCCAACTTTTGATGCATGGCACCCTGCAGGATTTCATCTCGTCTAAATGACCATTACTTATCAGTCTCAAAAGTTAAATACACATAATTTTTCTAGCCAATAAATCATGAGGTGTTTTATGATATTGTATCTGAGTCTTTGTCTTCTTCTTTTTTAGTACAGTATTTGCTACTAAGATTATCTTCTTTAATCACTTGTATAGGAAACTGTCTACAATCTAATGACCCTCAAATTTTATATCTCTATTCCTGAGCTTTTCTCCGAATTTCAGATTCATTTCAAAGCTTAAATGTTAACATGCACCAAAAATAAATCCCATTTATGAATGAAGCTTTAATCATCCAAATGTCTACTTCTCTCTGTGTACTTATTACAGCAAATGGCACACCACTCACTTAATTGACCATCCAGATTCTTGCTGTCATTTTTCCTTCTCCATTATTTCTATATCAATCTAATTCATGAGGTATTTCTGTTTTTTTTTTTTTATTATACTTTAAATTTTAGGGTACATGTGCACATTGTGCAGGTTAGTTACATATGTATACATGTGCCGTGCTGGTGCGCTGCACCCACTTATGTTCCAAGTGAAAACATTATAATGGAGAAACTAGATTAATTTAATATAAATTATCGGGTCAAGCAAAGTGTCACATAAAGTGGTACAACCACATATTCATCATGTGCTTCAAGAAATAACATAAGAACTGTATAGCATAATGATAATACTGTCTTGTCACTCCATTTAAAAATGGTAGAGAGAAGTACATGAATCAAGTAAATTGTATGCACATAGTAAAATTATATAAACAAAATTATACTTTATCCAAAATTTATACATACATTTATATGTAAAATTATATATGTACACATGGACACGCATTCACACATATACATATATGGCAAATCTCACTGCATCACTCTGTATCAACCAGTTTGTCCTTTTTGTTGTTCTTCCAATATATCAATTCCATAAACATTCGAGGGCATTATACTTATAGTTTCCTTGTCTGGAATGCTCTTTCCCAGATATTCATATCGCTCACTGTTATACTTTATTCAGTGTTCAAAAATCCACTTATCAAGATAGCCTTATGTTACTACCCTATCTAAAATATCATGCCCTGTTATACCCTCAGTCATCTGTGAGTCTCTTGCATTAGAATGCAAGGTTCATGGAGGAGATGGATGCCATCTGTTTTGTCATAATTGCATCCTCCTTGCACTTATACATGTTATGTAATTCCTTGTATTATACATGTTATGTAGTAGTTTGGTAAATGGTTGTAAAGAGGATACATAAATTAATAAATAAATAATTTTTGTTTTTTTGATCCAAATGTTTACAGTATTTTAAAAATATTCTTGACATTGGTATTTTTTGTATGTTTATAACAGGTTGATAATTTTATTACATGAAAATCAGATATAATTTTGTTTATTATTTTTAATTTTTGGAATATTTAAATATTTCTTAATGTGTGATCAATGTTTATGATTATTTTATACACTCTTGATGGTAGAAATTCTATTCTACTTTATAGAATTGTACCACAGGCATAATTGAAATTAGGTCTATTTCATTCTTAGTTAGATTTCTATATCCATATTTTTGGGGAGTTCCACATGAACACTATGTACTATGCCTGGTAATCTTTTTATCAAGTGTAGCTCTAGAGAAATAATTTGACTTTTATTTGGTTTATGTCTTTATGTATTTCGAATTATGATACTTTGTCTTGTTTGACAGTTTGCTAATAAGTTTCTCGCACCTGATTTCTATGAGTGTAAATATCACATCATTCTGAGCAAAGAGTAATGAGAGGTCATGTGCTATGGGGCCTCTAGGAAAACATTTTCCATTTTAGAGCATATTTGTAAGTAAAGATGGTCCTTTTCTAAATCTCAGCATTGCTTTATCTTGATGTAGTATCTGGAGATACCATGACTATTTACCAAAGGACAAAACTGACACAGAGAAGGTGACAAAGAAAACATTCTGAAATTTGCCCTGCCTGCTAGTCAGAGATGATAAATTATCCTTTTTGTTTAAGAAAATGAAGTGAAGCAGACAATACCCAAACTGATACAGTACTTGAAAAAATTCTGCAAGAAAAATCCTGGGAATTGTGGTCCCCCAGTTGAAAAAAAAATAAAGTGAAATGTTTTGGCTGTTCACTTTATATTTCAGCAATAGTTTGTTTTAAAACTTTTGGTTCACCTGTTCTACACTTAAATGGTTCATAGGATATTTTTTACTTAAGAATGCAAGATTGCAATATGGAGAAGAATTTATTTCCCTCTTTATAACTTATTTGATTTTGTCACATGCATCCCAGATTCTGCCTATTTCTATGAGGTGCAATGAGTTTACTAGACTATATGTCTCACTGTTTGCCATTATCTTTTTTTGTACAGAGAGCCGTGTCCTGTTTCCATCTACAGATATGTCTTGTTTTCTTTATAAAATGTTGTCCTGTATTATACCTTAATTTTTTTTCTCTTTTGTTTGGGTCTGTCCTTCATAGATAGATATTTTGTGCAAATCGGAACTCATTTTTCTGTTTTATTCCATAAGAGCATCATTTTTCTCTCTTTTAAAAATTATGTGAGTATGTATGTATGTCTATTGTTTTTAGTTTTTCTTAAATTATGACTCAGAAATTCGGCTGGGCATGGTAGCTAATACCAGTACTTTAGGAGGACAAGGCGGGAGGATCACTTCAACTTAGGAGACAAGTCTGGGTGACATGGATAAGCCCTGTCTCCACAAAAACTACAGAAATAAGCCCTGCATGGTGGCGCAGAGCTCTAGTCCCAGCTACTCAGGGCTAGGGTAGGAGTTGGGGGTGGCTGAGGTGGGAGGATCTCTTGAGCCCAGGAGGCCAAGGCTGCAGTGAGCTGTGATTGTGCCACTGCACTCCATCCTGGGTGACAGAGTAAGACCCTGTCAAAAAAAAGAAAAAAAAAAGAAAGAAGAAAGAGAAGAAAGAAAGAAAGAAAGAAAGAAAGAAAGAAAGAAAGAAAGAAAGAAAGAAAGAAAGAAAGAGAAAGAGACAAAGAGAGAAAGAAAGATAAAGAGAGAAAGAAAGAGAGAAAGAAAGAAAAAGAAAGAAAGAGAAAGAAAGAAAGAAAAATTCAACTGTTTGCAGTGTTTCTGATTTTTTTTTTTCACAATCACGCAGACAATGATATTTTAAAATGTTGGCTAAGGATCTCTCTCTCTTCCCCTTGCTGTTAACAGTATGACCATAAAGGTTTGATGGCTTCAGTTTTTCTCATTTATTTTGCACTTAGCCAGATAATTATTCCTCTTCTGTTGTCTCATCAACCGTAGCTTCGAAAAGTACTAAACTGGGGAGTTAAAAACTGGAAAATTGATTTTATACTGCAGAGATTGTGATTTAATTTTTACAGTTATAACCTGTCCATTTTTGTTGATAAAACAACCCCAAACAGTTCTTATGAACAGCTATTGAGAAACATTTACTGATGTTAATACTTGTTTAGTTCTCTTTTGGGATTAGTTTTTGTAATTCATAGTTTCCTTATAAATTATCAAAATGTTCATGTTAATTTTGATAGGATTTAGAAAAGTTTTCTCTTATATGTTTTTATTCCATTAGTGTTTATTCATATGATCTCATTCTCATTTTCTTTTCAAATTACCTGTATGTTTTCTTGACTATGTTAACTCAATGGTGCTCTCTCTTATTATTTTATATGAAAAGAACAGCTCTTGCACTTGTTCGGTAATTTAATTAATTTCTTTTTTTTACTTCATTATTTTATGCACTTATATTTGTTCTGGTTTGACTTAAATTAATATTATTCCCCATCTAACTTTTGAATTGAATGATTATTCCATTTATTTTAACTATCTTTTTAGTAAACATTTCTAGTTAAAGTTCCTGACTATTTAACTAAACACCAGTTTAGCTATACATTTATCCCATACATTCTGGTAAGTCATGACATTAAGATAGAGTCTGTGCTAATATTGAACATTGGTGAGAATAATGATTTGCCCTTTTTTCCAAGTTGCTTTCCTATGCTTAACTCTTCAAGCAGCTATAAAACGTGCAAAATTGTAAGTTAGATAATGATGTGGGCAGTGGGCACAGTGTCTGTCATGGTTGCCTCTAGATTGTCTCATAGAGACTAGTATGATATTCAAGGTTCTTGGCAGTGGTCCCAAGGTGAGCTCTCTGACCAACTAAAGAATCAGTGTGTCTATTCCCATATATATCCCAGCCTGCAAAAAAATAAAAATAAATAAATAAATAAAACAAGCTTATAATAAAGGACAGAAAATAATATTCCTACCTAGTGACCCAGTTTAACTGTCACTACTATCCTAAAATTTTGTAATTATCTGTGCTAGACCTGAGATAATCCTTAATTATCTTCGTATTGTGTAGGAGAACTAGATATTCTCCAGTTACTTGATTGGGGGCTTTCCAAGTTTCAACCTGCCCATTACCTGCTATAGCATTATTTTATTTAAATGTGTTTTTCAGGAAAAATTGCTTTAGACGTCTTATTTTTTACCTTATCTACTTGGTATTGAACTTTTTCATCTAGTAAACTATTCTAATTGAGAAACAGAGGAGGCCAGGCATGGTGTCTCCCGCCTATAATCCCAGCACTTTGAGAGGCCAAGGCAGGCAGATCACTTGAGGCCAGGAGTTCCAGACCAGGTTGGCCAACATGATGAAACCCCATCTCTACTAAAAAATATGAAAATTAGCTGGGCTTGGTGGAGCATGCCTGTAGTCCCAGCTACTCAGGAGGCTGAGGCAGGAGAATCGCTTGAATCCGGGAGGTGGAGGTTGCAGTGAGCCGAGATCATACCACTGTACTCCAGCCTGGACAACAGAGTGATACCCCATCTCAAAAAAAAATAAAAAGAAGCAGAGGAAACAATAGGAGATTTAAAGCAGAAAGACCAGAGTCTCTTTCAGCTTCATTAATTATAAAAATTTCAAAAGGATGTAAGTCATAGTATTTTTTGAGAATGAAACTTTAATTTCATGATATATAAAATATCTTATCAAATTATACACACATGCTAGTTTTCTTACTTGTTCTCATGAAAATTACATTGTTATCTCATTCTAATTTTTAGTATTAGAATCTTTCTAAAGATAATACATAAAAGTGAAACCTCATTATACATATCCTTCCTGATTAAATGCTTTGGTCTGTTTGAGCTAGTTTCTTCCAATATAAAATGTGAAAAATTTTAGAGCAATAAATGAGAAAATATGGACAATGAGATGACATATTTGTACATAGTAGGGAACTAAATAGCTTCTCATCATTACTTTTAGAATTATTGTACCTAGTAACTCTTGATTGATTTTCCACTTTGGAATGATGGCTGTGACATTTGAAGAAACAGAATATTAAAAAAATAGCTACTTAATATCAATCTCTCATTTGTTTCTGTGGGATTTTTATTATATTTCAGAAGTGTAAATTACATTTGGAGATTATTAATGAAGTGGGCATAGTTTACAGCATCTGCATCCAATTTCCGTTAGGAAATCACATTAAATTTGATTTTCTTTTTTGAAGTATAAATGATACGATTAGTTGTCACACCTTTAAAAAGTTTTCTCTTTTATTTGTGTGTGTTTGCAAAAGCAATAAATCATTTTTATTTAAATTAATTGGTCTGATATGTCCAAAAATAACAGGTGGGTTCAATGAACTGTTATTGAGAATTTGACTTCGTGCAGAGAACTTTATTACAAAAGATAAGCACAGTAAGAAACACAGCCTTGAGTTAAACATGAGATTGACTTCATATGGCAATTTTTGCTTTGTATTTATTTTATATATCCACCACTCTATTTCTCATACTGACGGCATATCGAGCTTAATGAGGTGGGTGGTAGGTGAACTCTAGTGTGCGCTCAGATGAAGAACACATTCAGAGTGCCTCATTAGCATCACATTCTGAATAGAATAAGGCTGGTTACTTTCTTTTAATAAGCATTAGTGATAAGCTGATACACTTGTTATGTTTTTTAAATTCAAGTAATAATTTTTAAATGATCATGCAAACAATCCGATAAAATATTTCAGAATTTTATAATTTTTAATTACATGATGATGTTAATCTACAAACAAATTTAGAGTACTACACAAATTTATTGTACGTGAATGAACTACAGAAAATATATTCAAAGCAAGGATATAGTTTCTTAGCTGGCCATAAATTTATAAAACTCTATTATGACTGCAATGAATTGAAAATTACAGCTGCATGCTTTTTTATTATTTACAGAACATTTAAAATAGAATATAAAGAATATTGGATTTTACCTTCAGGAATTTGCATCATATACTGTTGTAAAAATTGTTATATGCAGCTCAGATATAAGTAGATACAGAAAAGACTCATGAAGGTGTAAGTAATCTACATTGGTCTGCTATTAGTAAATAACAAAAAAAAAAAACACAGCAAGAATATATATCTACACACATACACACACACACAACTTTATTTTCAACTCCAGAAGAAAAGTGAGTAATAAATGTAGACTGTGTTTTCTTGAATTATTAGTACTAAACTTTAATTAATGTTAACAAGTACAACAGAAAAAGTGTCCTTTTATGCTCATCTTATATTGATTGATATATAAAGTAATAGAACATATATTTTAATGTATATCTTTATTCACATGTTTGTTTACATATGTATTTATACTATCATTATATAACAAGTGACAGTATTAATGACTTTTTTCAATATAATTATTTCTTTTGTTATTTTATTATCTTCACTTTGGAGAGAAAAAGAGGAGTAGCTACATCATTTAAAAATTGAAACTAAATAAAACCCTCTGGGACGAAAAGCCTCATCATTTACACTTTTGGACATTTCTAGAAGTTTAAGTTTGGAGTCTTTTAAAAATAATTTTGATCCTTTAATGTCTGATTTCAGGCTTTCATTGAAAGTGTTTTGCTCATGCAATGCTGATAATTAAAGCATCAATAAAACGTGGCCTTTTCACATTTCTTCAGAAATGGAATTCATCTGAGATGCTTTTAACTGGCCTCCCTGAAGCAGCACTCGGCATGATCCATCTCACTGTGCTCACCACCCAGTAGCCAAAAACCACACAACCTGAAAACTTCACTTCCCCGATTAAAACGCTCTGTACTTCACCCTCTGCATTATCTAGTTATGGAAACGCTTTCAGTTGTCTGAAGCATCTGAAGGCAGTTTGTCTTCTACATACTGCAGTCTGGCTACACTGGACTTGTTTTTCCTTAAAAGCAATAAGCAAACTCCTGCCTCTACTTTCACACTTACTCCTATGCCTGAAATGCTTCATCACCAAATATCCACAGAGCTCAGTCCTTTACTTTCCTCAAGTGTCTTATCAAATAACCCTTTATTTTAGAGGCTTTTTTAGATCACTTTATATAATTCATAAATTGCTTCCTCCATACTGATTTTTTCTCTTACCAGTATAATTGATATTATATTATGTACTAACTTTTGTTTGCCATATGTTGTGGGCTGAAATTTATTTCCCTACCCCCAGAAAAAAATGTATGTGTTGAAGTCGCAATCCTTAGGACTTCAGAATGTGACTGTATTTGGAGATAGGGTCTTCAAATAGGTAATTAAATTAAAATGAGGTCATTAGGATGGGCCCCGATTTAATATAACTGGTGTTCCAATAGAAAGAGGAGATTAGGACACAGACTCACATATAGAGGGAAGACCATGTAAAGACTCAAGGAGAAAATGGCCATCTGCCAGCCAAGGAGGGAAGGCTCTGAAGATTGGTTTGGTTCACCGCTGACACCTTGATCTCTGACTTCTAGCCTTCAAGACGATGAGAAAATAAATTTCTGTTGTTTAAGCCTCCCAGTTTGTGGTACTTTGTTAGGGCAGTCCTAGGAAACTACTACACTGTCTTTCTCTTTGTTCCCTACTCACCACCCTTTAATTCCTGGGAAAAAAAAAAAAAAACTTACTAGACTTTGAGGATTTTGCTTATTTCATTCACTGTTTTATTTCCAGTAGGTCAAATCATTCCTGGGGCATCATGTTGCTCAATAGATATTCATTGAGTGGCTGAAAGTGCAACAAATAATAAAATGCTTAATGAATTACCTATATTATGTCCAAGGAATGGTGAGTTTTATATTTTATGAGCCTTATTGATGAAAAAAATTCTCAAATTCCAATACTGAGTGTTGTAGAGACTGGAAACTGTATCCCTCTCATTTGCATTGAATTGTGTTTGTCAACATGGCTAAGACTAGAAGTATGTAGCTACTCAATGTTCATTTTATCTTATATGAAGTGCCGATTTACTGAACACCTCATGAAAACATAATTTACTATTCCCCTACCTGATCCTTTTCTCTTGCAACATGTAGATTCAGTGATGTGACCATACCTTCCCCATTTCCGATCCAGCCTGCTTTTCTCTAAATATTGAAGCTCTCAAAATCATCTTCTTTGATGAAGCCCTCAAAATGTCTCCTGGAGATTTCTTTAACCTTGGCAAAATAAACTTGTAAATTGATTGGGACCTGTCTCAGATACTTCTTTCCCAAACATTTTGCTGCAGTTTTCTCAGAGATGGCAGTTTCCTCACTTATCTTCATGATCTCCCCCAGTGTTGTGACCTCTTTTGTGGTCCAAAATGCAAAGTTTCTAAAATTTCCTGTAAGCTCCAACCAACTAGGCACACAATTGCTTTAGTGTTGTTGATGACTTTCTCTGATCCTCCAAACTCCTTTTATTCCACAGGCCTTAATTTCCCCAGTTCCTCTTACATTTATGTACACTCTAATTTTTGTTACAAATAATTTGTCTCCATAAAAAATGAATTGGTTATCTTCTAAATCAACAAACTCTGACCAATAAACCAAATATGGCTAAATATGGGACATCCATGGATATGCTTTTCTAGATTGTTCTACCCTGTTTTGCATGGATAAGCATTCATTTTTGAATAAATTTCATAAATTTTAAAAATAAACAAATCATGTTTTAATTGAAATTATAGTGTAGACAAAAGGTATGTTGACTATTATTTTGATATTTTTAGTAAACAAAATTATAATAATTTTCATATGTTTGATTTGCTTCCTATTAGAAGTGTCTTATACAATGAATTAATGAACCCAATTATCAGCAGATATAATATTATTCATCTAATATGTGACATCAAATCACACATTCTGGTAAAATTGTTCTTCCAGCATAACATTCCAATATGCTGAGATATTATTATAAATAATTTTAAAATATCTTCTAGAATTAAAAAGTTTAACAACATTCTAAGATAATAAACATGTTTGCTCTTAAAACAATCCAGTATAATTTTAAAATATTTTGTACTCATCCACAATTTTAAAAATATTTAACAGTAGAAAATGATGAAATTAAACATATTTTTCACTGTAAAAGAACATTCTTTATATCCTGAATGTGAAAGTGGCAGAGGCGATAGTGTTATCGTTCTGCACATGTGCCTGGCGAGGATTTGCCTGATTTCTCTTGACCCTAAGAATCCCGTGGCCACCATGTGAGTAGGCTTGAGCCGGTCCACACAGGGATGAGGGGTCCGGTGGAAAATTGTGTATTCCAATGGCCCATCTGCCAGAGTAAACCCCTGAGAAGATTGGTCATTATTTAGTTGTTATAAACAATGCTATTATAAACATATTTGAATATGTACCTTGGTGAAAATATACACCAATCTCTCCAAATTATATTTCTAGGAGTAAAAAGGCTGGATCACAGACTATGTGTATGACATAATGCTCAACTTTTCCAGGGTAGTTGCCTCATAAGAAAGTTACTTTGCTGCATCCTTGCTAGCATTCAGTTTCCTTGGATTTTACAATTTTTAGCTATTCTGGGAGAACATTTAGTGGTGCTTCATTTTTACTTTTTACTTATTTTCACCTTTTTTCCCCCCACATGAGACTACGTTTGTCCATCATATTATAATGAGTTTAGAAACACCAATATTATGGGATCCAATAATTTTAAATAGCTATTTCATTTTGTGACTATTTTTATATCCTTCTTTTTATTTTTTTAGAGAAAATAACATTTGATTTCTACTTGCAGAATGTATGATGTGTTACCTAGTGTAAAAAATGTATGTATACACACACAGGTACATACATATATACATAGTAAACACACTCATAGATACGTATTCTTAGTAACGCCATTATTCACTCATATAATCAAAAATACCAATTTTTGTGTCTTTATGAATCATATTTGAATCTTTATTGAATTATTATTTGGGGTTGTCAAATACTCTCTTTACCCTGGGTATATTGAATGAATAAAAAAGAAATTCTTAGTCTTCTAAACTGAAATTATAATCGGTAGAGGTTAAAAAAAGGCAAATGCTAAAAGAGGATCTAAGATAGAGGCGCATTTAGTTTCCTGGGCCACCATAACTGGCTGATGACGTCATGCTCTCCTCTCAAGCCTCAGTGAGACAGTGCTTCCTTGCCTCTCCCAGCTTGTGATAGCCCCAGGCTCTCCTTGACTTGCAGATACAGCAGTTCAATCTCTGAACATGTCTTCACCGGTGCTCTCCCTGTGTGTCTCTCTTCTCTTCTGATAGGGACACTAGTCAAACTGGATTAAGAGCCTACTCTTCTCCAGTATAATCTTGTCTAAACCAGTTACATTTGTAACAACCTTATTTCTAAATAAGGCCACATGCTGAGGTACTGAAGGTTGGGACTTCAATATATCTTTTGGGGGAGAACCAAACTCAGCCCATAATAAGTCATCTACTTATAGAAGAGTTCCAGAAGGAAGAGATTTCAACTAAAAATTGACAGAAAGATAGATAAAAACCATGATATTATTTTAAAAACATATTTTTCTTTCAGAAGGAAGGAAGGAAAAGAAAGAAAGGAAGAAAGGAAGAAAGAAAGAAAGAAGAAAGAAAGAAAGAAAGAAAGGAAGGAAGAAAGAAAGAAAGAAAGAGGTAGGTAGTGAGGGAGGGAGGAAGGATAAAAAAATAAGCACTCTAGTGTAAGAGATATTAAAGCATTTTTCTACAGCTTAAGCATTTATAAAGTGAAAATGAAGATAATAAGGGAAATGATAGCAAAGATCAAGCTAGAGAAGTAGACAGGTCTATATGAAATTTTACACATTATTCTAAGGACAATGATGATTCATTTTTTAAAGGACGTCATTTTAAACATTGCTTTCAAAAAGTCACCCTGGCTGAAGATATGAGAATGAGTTGAGAAGTGGGTAGACAGCCTGGAGTCAGGAAGACTAGTTAGATAAGAAGAGTTCACTCTTTCCTAAACAAGACAATGGCAGGATGCATAAAACAACATATATTTGAAAGAAATTTTAACAACATAATATATGCGACTTAGAGTTTGATTGCTTATGGGGTATATAAAAGAAGGAATGAATTCTAACTCCCAGATTTCAGGATAAGTAAATGGGCAGAGTAAGGCAGCATTCAGTGGGATGGGAATACAGAATTTCAGGCTGTTTCAGTGGGATAAATTCAATTTGAATATTTTAAGTGTGATTTTAAGTGTGTATGGGTATGTAAGTAGAGATGTCCTATAGGCAAGTAACTGTTTCTATATTGTACTGTAATTGAAACAAAAGAAGTGATTGTCTGGAGAAGAATTTAAATAGAATTAAAATTTAATTGCATTTTATTTTTGTATTAGAGATATTTAACCTTGATAAAAAATGAGTGGAAATAATATGTGGCAGAGACTGGAAATTATTGAGATAGCCCAAATCCTCATAGAGTACTAATTTAAAAGTCCAAATTTTTAAAAAATTAATTGCAGAAAAATACTGATAGATGAGTAGTGTTGCTGTCCATTTATTTACCTCATTATTTTAAATGTTCACATACAAAGAAAAAAATGAAATTATTGGCATAGGGCTAAGTCAATTGTTAGTATGTTTCTTTTTGCCTTTTCTGACCAACTTGAAATACACACACACACACACACACGTTGGAAAAAAAATTTGGAAGAAGAAAAATTTCCTACACTGTGCCTTAATATCACATTAAGGACCATGACCTTCTCATGAAAGCAGTCTGCATATTATTAGTATTGTGTTTGGTACAATTTATTAAACTGGGATTAAAATTCTGCCTCTGACATGTAATAACAACAGTTAGAACTGACAGCCCTTGCATCATTCCCCACACTCATCCAGTGAACTCTGTATTATTGCTTCTTGCCAATCATCTGCCAAATTCGTAACTAAAACAACTATCAGATCTTCCCAGATGATCCATCTAATATCATTTGTAGTGAGGTTGTCAATCTACGAAACTCAGGTATATAATTCTCTGCTCTCATTTCAAGATGATTTTAGATATCCTATTACATCCATCATAGAAGCCAGACTATGGCAAAGTTTTATTTAATGTTAAGAGTAAAAATCCTTTTTGTGATTTTGGCTACAAGGTGATTAATATATTTGAAAAGTGATCATCCAAGGAAATAATGAAATAGAATGGCATACTGTTAGGATGAGCATTGTAATAAAAAAATTCCTATTTATATTTTATCATAAAAATTATAACTCCCTCTAAAAATAAAAGCAAATGAGTAGAATTTCTATATTTTATATTATTAAAATTGTACACAAACAGTTCATTTGATTTTCTAAAATACTATAGCTAAAATGAATATACATTGATATTTATCAGTATATACATACACTAGGTAAACATTTATTGCAGTAATGTTGAAATTTCTATTTGCAAATTATACAAAACATTTTCTGATGCTGAATTTTATTTGATCATGCAATGTTAATCTGAAACTAGGTGAAAAAAAAACAGTTCCAGATTCTGATTAGTGCTAGAGTGTTTTCTTTTTCCTTTCTTTTAGTTTTATTTTTTTTTTTTTTTTTTTTTTTTTTTTTTTTTGAGACGGAGTCTCGCTCTGTCGCCCAGGCTGGAGTGCAGTGGCGCGATCTCGGCTCACTGCAAGCTCCGCCTCCCGGGTTCACGCCATTCTCCTGCCTCAGCCTCCCGAGTAGCTGGGACTACAGGCGCCCGCTACCACGCCCGGCTAATTTTTTGTATTTTTAGTAGAGACGGGGTTTCACCGTGTTAGCCAGGATGGTCTCGATCTCCTGACCTCGTGATCCGCCCGCCTCGGCCTTAGTTTTATTTTTTTAAGAGACAAGGTCTCACTCTTTGCACAGACTGCAGTGCAGTGGCACGATCATAGCTCATTGCAGCCTCAAATTCCTGGCCCCAAGAGGTCCTCCTGCCTCAGCCTCCCAAGTATCTAGGACTACAGGTGCTCACCACCTCACCTAGCTAATTTTTTCTTATTCTTTTTCTTTTTCTTTTCTTTTCTTTTTTTTTCTTTTTTTTTTTTTTTTTTTTTTTTTTGAGCCTGGGTCTCACTATGTTGCTCAGGCCAGTCCCAAACTCCTGACTTCCAGTGATCCTCCCATCTCAGCCTCCTGAGTAGCTGGAATTGCAAGTGCAAACTTCCTTTCCTAAGTGAAAAACATTTTCTGTATATTAAATCTAAAGTAGAGCTTGGATCATAAACTGGAAGTGGACAGCTGTCTCTTATGATGATGTTATTTAATGAAAATCAATTAATGATCTCCACTCTATGGAGGGCATGCAGTAATTAGAAATTGTATTTTTAAGATTTAAAAAATCTTTAAATTTATTGCCTGGCAATAACAGACATATACCTTGAAAACCAAAGTCTGTAAAATGTTGGCAAGAACAAGAAGACAGTGATACATTTATTTTTTTACAAGAAAAATGACAATATTCCTCACATAACTTTCTCACAAATCTCTTTCTATAGAATGCATCAATATCCATAAATGCCACTTGGTCAAAATCATCATTGGTATTCCTTCTGGTAGCTCTATTACTGTACAGGCTCTAAAGTATTTTCTGTTATAGACTACAAGAATAAGAAAACTGAAATCTTTGTCATATTTATTTTCATTTTATTTGTCATATATATTTGCTCACACCAAAGTTATTTAATGCTGTTGTTTTTCTGTTTATTTGCCAAGAAAATTATTAGACTGAAAGAGGACATTTCATCCTCAAGTTATTAATTACAAAATCTTAAAATTATGTAAGTCCACCTGTGCAGAAGAAAAGAGTAACAAACCTTTTTGTTAAAGGTCCTAAGGTCAAAAAAAACTTTTTTTTTTTGTTTTTTTTATTTTCTTGATTAATTTTATTAGAGTAAAATCAATGTCTTTATGAAGTATGAATTTCTTTTTCATTCAAAATATTTGTTAAGCTTTGGCTTCTACATGCAGGATAGTGTTTTAATATTAATATATTCTGCTTTAAAGGAGTTCCACAAGTTTTAGTTAATGAAAATAAAGAAATGGTGTAAGCTTCTGCTATAGCAGTTTGAAGATTTCATCTTGAACTAATTCATGCTTTCTTAACTAGTGAGTAAAAATGAAATTATTTCTGGCTATGCAACTGCAAAGCTTTTTTTTTTTTTTTTTTTTAGCAGTTTATCCCAATGAACTCTTTCTCACAGTTCACTGAATTGCAAGTTAATTTTGTGGAACAAAGAATGAACATTTTAAATATTTTCTTTTACAAATTAAGATACATGTAAGCATCACTTTTTATTCCATGTCTGCAAAACACAATTCAGAAAAACTATGCTGCTATTTGGGGACAGATGGAGAGAGAGAGAGAGAGAGAGAGAAAGAGAGAGAAGAGACAGAGAGAGATCATAGATAGATAAAAAATAATTTTTAAGATAAATGTATTGTTTTCTGAAGCTACATTAAAAAGCACTACAAGCTGCGTGGCTTCAAATGACAGAAATTTATTTTCTCACAGCTCTGGAGGCTAGAAGTCCAAAATCAAACTGTGGGCAGGGAAAGGATCTGAGGTCTGAGACTGGGTAGACTGTGCCTCTTCCTAGCTTGTGCTGGTAGTTGTCAATCCTTAGTGTTCTTTGTTTTGCATTGCCATCACTCTAATCTCTGCCTCTCTGGTCATATGATGTTCTCCTTGTGTGTCACAGTGTTCACATTTCCCTCTTATAAAGACACTGGTCACATCGGATAAGGGCATGCCCTAAAGAATTTACATTATTATTTTACAAAACCCTATTTTCAAAGAAGTTTACAGTCACAAGTACTAGGGACTAGGACTTCAGCATATATTGGGGGAATACAATTCAACTCATAACTATGAGTGTCGTGATATTCAGGTGCTATATGATAATAGCAACTCAAGGGCACATAATAGATAATAATCTTATCATAGAAGACTTTTAGTGGATAGAATTCTTTTGCTACTCAATTGAGGTTCTTAAATAATGGTTTCAAACCTTGGGAGGAAGAAATATAAGACGGAAGCAGGCTGCAGAAACTTAAGGGGCTCTATTAAAATATGTCTGCGGCACAGGTGTTAAAACAAGGTGCTACTTTCTAGGTAAGACCAAATATGCAATAACTGAACTGGTAGCAATAGTCATGATGCTCAGACACCATTGC